>NC_000024.10:6343225-6643635 GCF_000001405.40 Homo sapiens
CTGCTCCTTGTGAAGCCTATGGTAGCTCAAGTTATGTGACATCTATAGGAGATGGTGGCAGAAGCCGATCTGAAAAAGGAGACTGAAGTAGATATTAAAGCAAGTATTCAAAATAATAGTTATTGCATACTAAACCTTGTTTGCAAATCGAACATTGAAATTTTATTTCTGCCTTGTTACATGTGTCTTACTAAAAGAAACTTGTTTTTGTGGAGAGAGGTAGAAATGCAGAAACTAACTTACTCCATGAATTTTTTGAGCTATTTAAAGGAAAATGAATTTTTTTCAAAGTAATTTCATACTTGTTACTGTTAGTTATAATATCTGGAATAAAATTTTCATAATCAATTTTTACATGTAATGCAAAATGCCTGATGTTACTGCTTAGCTACACATGCTTAAAAGCAAATTAAATAGAAGAGTAAATTGCGTTGTGAACACTTTGTTTCTTTGAACATAAATAGATACAAAATCAGGCATATATTATGTCTCCCTTTCAAGTTGCATAAGTTTTCTAATTAGGCTGTGTTTCTCTTTAAAAAATTACAAGATTAAAACATTAGCGAAATCTCCAGAAACACTACAAAACTGTTTGCCTCACCATACAATGTTTATCTTATAGAGTAATAGTACAGGTCAAAGGAAATAATTAGATGTGGTTGATACTAAAGTTTAAGACATCTGGAACAATCTACTTGAAGCATTCTGTGACTGAAGGGGGATATTGGCTTGCAGATCACTTTAGGTCGGGAGTTCAAGACAAGCCTAGCCAACACCATGAAACCCCATCTGTACCAAAAATACAAAAATTAACCGGGCATGGTGGCCCATGCCTGTATTATGTTACAGTTAATTGGGAGGCTCAGACAAGAGAATCGTTTGAACATGGGAGCCTCAGACTGCAGTGAGCCGATATTGCACCATGCACTCTAGCCTGGGTAATGGAGTGAGACACCAACTAAAAATAATTATATAAATCAACAAATACATAAGTAATAATGTATCCATCAGTTCAACTAGTTATTTCTTTTTTTTCTTTTTTAGAGACAGAGTCTCACTATGTTGTCCAGTCTGGACTGCAGTGTCACCATCATAGCTCACTGCAGCCTTGGACTCCTGGGTTCAAATGTGCAAACCTTCCATTTCAGCCTCCCAAGTAGCTGGAATTACAGACACACACCACCATCCCCAGCTCTTGTGTTTGTGCATGTATGGTAGGGACAATGTTTCGTATATATTGTTCACGCTGGTCTCAAAATTCCAGGCCTAAGTGATCCGCCTTCCTTGGCCTCCCAAAGTGTTGTGATTGTAGCTGTGAGCCACTGAGTCTGGCATATCATTTGTCAGTATAAGTGACATTCCACCTTCACTCTTTTAATTCTTTTGAGATATACAATAAACCATTATTAAGTGTAGTCATCCTGGGCTACCGAACACTGGATCGTATTCCTTCTAAGCAACTGTCATTTAACCCACCCCCAACCCTTCTATGATACCTTCCTTACCAGTATACATTGCTTGTATCAAATATCATATAATATCACATGATATCACCAAAAGTATCTACAAACGTTACATACAATTTTTTAAAATAAGTAAAAGAAATAATAGAAAGGGTATCTCCATTAAGGTGATAAAATGGGAGGCTCTAATTTGTCCCTGCATCCACAAATGCAACAAATAAAATGCCTCACCCACATCAATTCCCTGTGAGATAAACACAGAAAGTATTTGAGATACTCTTGCACACATACGATTATGAAAATACTCACTTAAAAAGAGGTAATAAAAACTGAATCATAAATTTTTTCTAGAGTTTATGTCTGACACAGTGCCCTAGAATGAATAGAGAACTATTATTTCACAGCTTCTCTCAGATGACCGAAGTATTAAATCACATATGTAGCACCCCACCTGTTAAATGCTACAGCTGCTTCTCCACAAAATGATACCTAGCTTGCCTATCTCTGGATTCTAACACAGACTTGCATTCATAATTCTCCTAGGACCTCCAAGATAAAAGACGGATTTAAGTAAACATTCAAGCACTTCTGAAACTGTTTCCTCCTGGCTTACTGGATCTCACACACTCAAGAAAGCTCAGTTCCCACTTTGTACCTCGAAGAACGTAGATTGTGCATCTAATGCCTTGACTTTTTTTTTTCTTTATTCTTTTGAGGCGGAGTCCCGCTCTGTTGCCCAGACTGGAGTGTAATGGCATGATCTCGGCTCACTACAACCTCTGCCTCCTGGTTCAAGTGATTCTTCTGCCTCAGCCTCCTGAGTAGCTGGGATTACAGGCATCCACCATCACACTTTGCTAATTTTCGTAGTTTTAATAGAGACGGGGCTTCAAAATGTTGGCCAGGCTGGTCTTGAACTTCTGACCTCAGGTGATCAACCCACCTCAGCCTCTCAAAGTGCTGGGAGTGCAGGAATGAGCCACTGTGCCCAGCCTTTTCTTCAGCCTTTAATATCATCCATCTTTGAAAACATTAGCAATTAAAATATTATTATTATTATTATTATTATTATTTGAGATGGAATCTCACTTTTGTTGCCCAGGCTGGAGTGCAATGGCACCTTCTCAGCTCACTGCAACCTTCACCTCCTGGGTTCAAACAATTCTCCTGCCTCAGCCTCCCGAATAGCTGGGATTACAGGCATGCACCACCATGCCTTGCTAATTTTGTGTTTTTAGTAGAGACCAGGTTTCTCCATTTTCCTGATTATACACCCTAAAGAAATGAAATACATGAAGTTCCAGAAGTTTTACAGTTCATAATTCTTACAATTAACAGACTAATCTTCAGGGAAAAAGTATTTTATTGGTAAAATTCTGGCAAGATCATCAATTTTTACAGGGTAAGTGTGCAAATAATTTTCAAGGGAGAAATTACCAACTTTTGTTTTCAAGTGATTTATTCATGATATGAAGTTTTGTTTTCATTCACTTATAATGTAGCATTGTGAGGATGAAGTGAAAGGATAAAACTCCCTAGTCTTGTATATGTTATTGTCTAGGTGTGATGGCTCAGTTCTTTAATTCCAGCTCTTTAGGACGCCAAGTCTTGCAGATCACATTAGGTCAGGAGTTCAAGACCAGCCTGGCCAAAACCCTGAAGCCCCATCTCTACCAAAAATACAACAATTAGCTGGGCTTGGTGGCCCATGCTAGTAGTATGTTAACTAGTAGTAGTTAATTGGGAGACTCAGGAAGGATAATTTTTTTGTCTCTGTGAGCCTGAGGCTGAAGTGAGCTGATATTGCACCATGCACTCTAGTCTGGGTGACAGAGTGGGACTCCAAGTCACAAATAATTATATAAATCAATAAATATATAAATAATAAATAGTGTATCCTTCAGTTCAAGCACTTATCATTTTTTTTCTTTTTAGACACAAGGTTACACTGTTGTCCAGCCTGGACTGCAGCAGCACCATTGTAACTCACTGCAGCCTTGAACTCCTGGGTTCAAATGTGTGAGCCTTCCATTTCAGCCTCTCAAGTAGAAAGAATTACAGACACACACCACTGTGCCCCACTTTTGTGTGTGTGTGTGGCAAGGACAATGCTTCAGATATATTGTTCAGGGTGGTCTCAAACTCCCAGGCTTAAGTGTCCTCCTTCCTTGACCTCCCAAAGTGTTGCAATTATAGCCCTGAAACACTGAGTTTGGCATATTGTTTCCAGAGTTGGTTCCTTCTGGTAGGTTCTCGGTCTTTCTGACTTCAAGAATGAAGCCGTGGACCTTCACATAGAGTGTTACAGCTCTTAAAGATAGTGTGTCCAGAGTTCATTCGTTCAGATGTTCAGATATGTCCAGAGTTTCTTCCTTCTCCCAGGGGACCTCCTGGTCTCCCTGACTTCAAGAATGAAGCTGCAGACCTTCATGGCTGGTATTGAATCTCCTAAAGTTGGTGCAGACCCAGAGCGAGCAGCAGCAAGATTTATTGACAAAGCTTCCACAGCATGGAAGGGGACCTGCATGGATTGCCACTGCTGGGTGGGTTGGCGAGCTTTATTCCCTTATCTGGCCCCACCCACATCCTGCTGATTGATCCATTTTACAATGTGCTGATTGGTCCATTTTACAGAGCGTTGATTGTTGTGTTTAAAATCATTTAGCTAGACACAGAGCAATAATTGATGCTTTTTTACAGAGTGCTGGTGAATTTACATTCCTTTTGCTAGACACAGAGTGCAGATTGGTGCATTTACAATCATTTAGCTAGACAGAAAAGTCCTCCCTGTCCCCACTCAACCCATGAAGTCTAGCTGTCTTCACATCTCAATGCTCTAACTGCTGTTGGGAATTGGGTGATGACCACCCTAGCTACTTACTGCTGGATAGAGGTAAAGAAGGGGTCTCTGGTGGTAGTGTCCTCCAGAGGGGAATATTCTAGGCCAGCCAAAGGGCCAGTGGGTTGATCCAGGTTCCTTGGTAGAAGTTATTAGTTGAGCTCATTGGGGTTCCATTTGTAAGATCAACTGTAGCTTGATGGCCTCAATCCTAGAGGAAACAAATTTGGCAGGGTGGTTAAAAATACAGGACCTGAAGGAAAGTAATAGCAAGATGGCTGTCATGGGACCTGGAAAGAGGAGAAGTCATATGGCTCAACTCCAGAGGTTGGTATAAGAGTTTGAAAGGCATTGTCTGGTTTCAGTAGCCTTTTCCTTTAAATGCTGGGTGGCATTGCATACTATCCCAGACTGGTTAGTGTAAAAGAAACACTCTTCCCTTAAGAAGGTTTAGAGCCCTCCTTTCTCAGCAGTGAGGGAGTCTAGGCCTCAGTGGTTCTGGAGAGCCACTGCTGCCAAAAAGTCTATTTGGGATTGTAGAGAAAGGATAGATTTTGTTATTTTTCACAAACTGTCTGAGAAATCCTTTGAGAGTGTGTGGTAGTAGGATAATACATGTTACACTGTTAACTTTTAGCAAACTTTACTTTTGTTGAAAACCTTCTAAGTTTGGGATTTCAAGTATTCTTTGCTATTAATAAGACCTCGTTCAGTCCCTATTCACTTAGAAATGGTATAGATGGCTCCTTCGTGATTCTGTAAGTACATTAAGGTTTGGCTGAGGGCAAACGGCTCGCACATTTAAGCAGACAAATTATTAGGCAATTTTCCTAACTGCTTCTACAACAGTTCCCTTATCATTTACTGAATACCCATTGCGTCTTTTTCCCTTAATAACCTGGGAGGAACCATCTATCATCCTGTCCTGAAGGAAATTCCTCCTAGGTCTTGTTGGACCTTTGTATGGTAATTAGTTAAGACTTTGATCCTTAGATCCCCGTTAGGAATCCTGCTGAGTTAAAATTTTTTGATAGGAGGTCTAGGGGTTCTCAGTGGCCTCAGTGCTTTCAGACTATGCCCTTGTTTACAATGACAACAAGGTGGTATTGGGGTGTTAGAGGTCATTGAGAAAACCTTAAATTATCAATTATGGTTATTAAATTTACCCTGGCTTTTAAAGGAATAGGATACACTGCTTTTTCTTTACTACTTCAATCTCTTTCTCTCTCTTTGACTCCTTCTTTGTCTGTCTCTTCCTCTCTCTCTTTCCTTCTGTCTTTGACCTTGTCTCTTTCTTTCTTTTTCTTTTTCTCTGACCCCCTCTTTGTCTGTCTCTTCCTCTCTTTCTCTCTCACTCTCTCTGAATTTCTGTCTCTTCTTCTGTTTCTCTCTTTCTCTCTCTTCTCTCTCTGCTGGTCTTTTCCTGCCTCTGCCAGCCACTTATGCTGCTGCTCTCCCCTCTCCTTCCCCTTATGATGGCTTCGGCAGTGGAACACTGCCACCACATTGGGTTTTGCAGAGTGTGCAATAACTCCATGGTTTCCTTGTGATATTTAATGGGGCTTCCCCCCGAGGTTATGAACTCATTTTCTTTCCATATTGCAGGATGGGCATGTAGGAGTAGATAAGCATACTTACTATCAATACACACATTTATTCTTCTTCCGTTTCCCCATTGTCAGGCTTGGGTAAGTGCCATTAGTTCTGCTAACTGGGCGCTGGTCCCTGGGGGAAGAGGCTTACTTTCAAGTGCCCTTACACCACTAAATATGGCATAGCCTGCCCTTCATATACCATTCTACACAAATGAACTTTCACTGGTATATAGGTTAAGGTCAGGATTAACTAAGGAGCTTTCTAAGAGAGGCTTTCGGGCAGCATAAATTTGGACTATAATTTGTTGGCAGTCATGCTTGACTAGTGTTTCCCATCCTCTAGGAGAAAAATGGCAGGGTTGAGGGCTACATATGTGCATATTTGAAACACCTGTCGCTCAAGGAGTAGTGTCTGGTATCTAAGCAGGCTGTTGTCTGATAGCCATAAACTTCCTTTGGCACCTACTATGCCCTTTACATCATGAGTAGTCCAGAGAGTGAGATCATTTCCTCATATTATTTTGACAGCCTCTTACACTAAGATGGTCACTGCCACAACTAATAGTAAACAGTGAGGCTGGCCTTTTTCTAGTACATCAATTTCCTTACTTAGGTATACCACAGGTTGTGGGGTTGTCCCATGAGTCTGAGTAAGGACTCCAAGAGCTATTCCTACTCTCTCTCTGGCATATAAATAAAAGTTTTGTCCTCTCAGAAGGCTTAAGGCTGGAGCTTGAGTTTATTTCTTCCAGTGCCCAGACTTCAAGGTTGACTCCCTCCTCCAGCAGGGGATAACAAATGGGTAACTTGTTCCCTATGTTCACGTAGATAATAGCTCCAGCTTTGGCTAATATGTCCCTCCCTAATAAGGTATTGGATGTTCAGGCATAAGAAGAAAGGCATGTGAAAAGAGCAAAGTCTCCCAGTTACAACTGAGAAGGTGGGAGAAACACTTGGTTACAGGCCAAACCAGGATTCCTCAGATAGTAACAGCCCTTGAGGACAGCTGTCCAGGACAGGAGATTAACACTGAGAAGGCCACACCAGTGTCCTGGAGGAAGTCAATTTCCTGGCCCTCAATGGTTAAATGTACCTGGGGCTCAGTGAGGGTAATGACATGAGCTGGCACTTGACCCAGACACCCTCAGGCCTGTTGTTGGATAATCTGGTTGGGGGCTTCTGGCCTAGAGAAACTTTGTCCTCTGGGGCAGAGAGCCTTCCAGTGATTGCCTCGGTAGAGTGGACATGGGCCAGGGGACAGCTTGTTTCTTGTTGGACAAACTTTTTTAAGGTGTCCTTGCAAACCACACTGGTAAGAAACCCTACCTGGTAATTGGCCTGCTCCATTTTATGTCCGGTCTGAACCACCAAGGTTTGTTTGTCTGAGGGCCATGAATAAGGCTGCAACCTTTCTCTGATCTCACTTTTCCATTTTGGCCAGGTCTTCTTGGTAGCTATTAGAGAACACTGAGGTTGCCAGGTTTACTAATGCCTCCAGATTTTGTTCAGGGTCCAGCGCTGACTTTTGGAGCTTTCTCTTGATATCTTCAGCTGATTGGGTAATAAACTTATCTTTCAGAGTCAATTGACCCTCAAGGGAATCAGGTGACAGAGGAGTAGATTTCCTTAAGGCCTTCCATAGCCACTCGAGGAAGGCAGAAGGATTTTCTTCCTTTCCCAGAGTTAGGATGGACATCATTGCATAGTTCAGGAGCATTTTCCTAATTCTCCTCAGTCCTTCTAGAACACAGGTCAGCAGATGTTTGTGACTCCAGTCCCAATAATCTGAGTTGAGTTTCCAGTGGGGATCCATATGGGGGATGACTTGCTGACTGGTAGGGAATTTGTCCCTTTCTTCAGCTGTCATTCTATCATTTACTTGACTAAGATACCAGGTATCTCCAAACTCTTGGGCTGCAGCTAAAGCCACATTATTTTCATTAAAGTCCAGGATTTGATCTAACATTAGCATAACATCTCTCCAAGTGAGGTGAAAGGTTTGCCCTAGACCCTATAAGATATCTATGTACCTATCAGGATCATCTGAAAACTTCCCTGTGTCTGCCTTGGTCTGCTTCAAATCAGGGAGAGAGAAGGGGACATGTACCCAGGTTGGGCAAAATTCCCCTCCCCCTACATCTTGAAGGGGACATAATCAATAGCCCGGAGTTTTTTTGTGGTCCTCTGTAGATTTCTTTGCTTGTTTCCTTCTGCAGGGGGAAGATTAGAGGTGGCTTATCAGTAATAGAAAGGGGAGCTATACAGAGGCTAGGATATAGGGGTAAGCTAAAAGGTACTCCTGTGGGATGTAAATGGCAAGCTTTGCAAAGCTGTGGATTCTCCTTCAATGAAAATAAAACTTGGACATCAGGTATTTCATTCCACTTGCCTTCTCTCTTATAGAAAAGGTCAAACTGCAAGATAGTATTTTAATTTTTACTTCCCTCAGTTGGCCATTTTTCCCCATTGGAGAGAATATTGAGGCCTGGTAATAGTGAAGAAAAAAATGAGCCACCTCTTTGTCAAGGATTTGTGGATCAAATTGGTCCCGATGGCTTAGGATGCACTGCAATGGTGAGCCTGTTGATGTCTGAGTGTTTCCCATCTGAAAGACAAAACTTCCCACAATTTTGGTTTGTTTGTTTCTTCCCCTGCCCAAGAACTGCAATGGTCCCTGAACCCTGCTGATTGGCATAGTTGCGCTCACTGACCCAGCAGCAGAAACACTAGTTTTCCTCCAAGACCACAAAGAAGATTGAGGAAGGTCAGATTTAGTGTCCCTTACTGATGTATTCTCAATAATCTGCACCCTTTCCTGTCCTCCTAGACCACAAAGAGGACCAAGAAAAATCGGATTTAGTGGCACTTACTGATGCATTCTTGAAAAACTGTTAGAGTCCTAAGCATTCTCCCATTAGTATTGGGACTATGCCCCTGTCCTATAAAGATATTACACCTCAAAAATGAAGTGGAGGGCCATACCCTGAGAGAGGGAAATGTTATCCAGGGTTGGAAGAGTGATGCCTTTTGTCCTCACTTGAATAGGAAGGATACCATTTCTGAAGCTCCCCATACCCTAGCTTCAGGAGTAGCTTTTGTTAGGCCTGCTAGTCTAAAGAGAGATCCTAAAATTCTAGATAAGATGTTCCCCCAGTCCCCCAGTGGGGCTTTGGGCTAAAATTATATCTTTCTGATTGGTAAGCCCGGGTGCCTAAAGAAGGGAATAGAGTCCTGGAGTTTATACTAGAAATCATTCTTAGCAGAGAAACTAGAAAAGCACCAGAGACAGGGAGTGGTTTTCAGAAGCAGGGCTAGCCTCAGAGAAGAGACAAGAGGAAGTTTGTCTGACAGGTATTAGGACCCAGGAAGCAAAGGTCAGATGTCAGGATAGATAGGATAGATGGGCGAGTCTCACTTGTGCAACGTGACTTTGAGAGTACTACTCATGGCTGCAGCATTAACCAACTTGTTATTGGGACTTTGGAGCTGAATGGCTTTCCTCTCTGTTGACCCCCAGCTCAGCCCAGAGGTATAGGGAAAGCAGAAGCTGGTTGCAGGCAAACCAATGCTCCCAAATCTGAAGAGTTGGGGCTTGTTAGACAGCACTTCCCCAGAAAGCATGACACCCATGTCTTTAGTCCAGCGGCCATGCTAGTCACTTTTAACTGGCTTACAGGTGGCTGGTTTTTTAGCCCCAGAATTCTGAGGAAAAATAGGACAGAATAGCAAGTGAAAGGTGTCTGATGGTACTCACTGCTTGGTGATAGGTGATAGTCCCTTCATGGTTGCCATAATGTGTCTGGAATTTATTCCTTCTAGTGGGTTCTTGGTCTTGCTGACTTCAAGAATGAAGCCGCGTACCTTCACAGTGAGTTTCGCAGCTCTTAAAGTGGCATATCCAGAGTTTGTTCCTTCAGATGTTCAGATGTGCCTAGACTTTCTTCCTTCCAGTGGTCTTGTGGTCTCAATGACTTCAAGAATGAAGCTGCAGACCTTCACAGTGAGTGTTACAGCTCTTAAAGGTGGTGTGGACCCAAACAATGAGCAGCAGCAAGATTTATTGTGAAGAGCAAAAGAACAAAACTTCCAGAGCTTAGAAGGGGACCCAAGAAGGTGGCTGATGCTGGGTGAGGTGGCTAGCTTTTATTCCCTTATTTGGATCCATGCACGACCTGCTGATTGACTCATTTTACAGAGTGCTGATTGGTCCATTTTACAGAGTGCTTATTGTTCCATTTTAGAGAGTGCTGATTGGTGCATTTACAATCCTTTAGCTAGACACAGAGTGCTGATTGGTGCATTTTTAGAGTGATGACTGGTGTGTTTACAATCCTTTAGCTAGAGGGAAAAGTTCTCCAAGTCCTCACTTGACCCAGGAAGTCCAGGTGGCTTCACCTGTCACTAGGACCTCCAAGAAAAAATGGGGATTTAAATAGACATTCAAGCACTTCTGAAATGGTTTCCCCCTGGCTTAAGGGATCTCAAGTAGTCAAAAATCTCAGCTCCCACTTTGTACCTCAAATAACTTAGATTGTACATCTAATGGCTTGACTCTTTTTTTGTTTTTTCATTTCTTTTGAGACAGAGTATTACTCTGTCACCTGGGCTGAAGTGCAATGGCATGATCTTGGCTCATTGCAACCCCTGCCTCCTGTGATTCCCCTGCCTCAGCCTTCCGAGTAGCTGGAAATACAGGTGACCACCACTATGACAGGCTAATTTTTGTATTTTTTAGTGAAGAAAAAGTTTCACCATGTTGGTCACGCTGGTCTCAAATTCCTGACCTCAGGTGATCCCCCTCCTTGGCCTCCCAAAGTTCTAGGATTACAGACATGGGCCACCACATCCAGTCATGTCCTCACTTTTATAGCTTCTGCCCAGGTATCTTGCTTCTAATCCTCCTGACTTTTGGATCTGTCAAGGTCCTCTGAGAGCAGGCACATAGGCATTTCCCATCAGTCTTCATCGTCACTCACTCTAGCAATATACTGAGCTTCTAAATTTTCCTTCCAAGAAGTCAAACTACCCAACTATTTCCCTGACTTCTCAGCTTGATGCCTAAGAGTTTTAATACTAACTTGCCAATCTCTGGAAGCTAATGAAGCCCAGCATCTTGTAGCCCCAGGGTTTTGAAGAGGAAAAATGATTTTTTTTACCATAACTCTGCATGACTATTAAACTGGCTTATTTTTGTAGTTTAAATATTTTTCCCTCCAAGCCTCAGGTTGAAATGTGGTTGTCCACACTATAAATGACACCTAGTGTGGGGCTGGATCCCTCATAAATGGCTTGGCACCCTCACCATGGTTAATAAGTGAGTTTTCCACTCTATTAGTTCCCACAATGGAATTTACATCCAAATAGGTTGTTCAAAAGAGCCTGATACTGTCTCCCATTCTCTCTCTTGCTCTCTCCACATGTGGCATGCCTGTTTTCCTTTACCTTCTGTCCTGAGTGGAAGCCTCATGAGACTCTCACCAGATGCAGATGCTGAGACCACACATCTTTTACAGCCTCCAGAACCAGGAGCCAATGAAAGCTTTTTTCTTTATAAATGTTCCAGTCTCATTCTTTTATAGGAACACAAACAGAATAAGCCATGTATCTCTGGCTGATAATGTGCCTATATCAGTAAGCAGTGGAGCTCAGCATTCACTGTTTCCTTTGTTCCACAGAGGAAAAAAAAAGTGGTTTTCGGTGGTCCCGTGAAATTGTCCTTAAATCCAACCCTTGGCTTACTCTAGCTTTCAGGTTCTCCATGGAAGCACCACAACATTTTAAACTCCTCCCTTAGGACCAGTATTTTTTTTTTTTGAGATTGAGTCTCACTCTGTCACCCATGTTGGAGGGAAGTGGCATGATCTCAGCTCACTTTGACCTCCATCTGCTGGGTTCAAGATATATTCCTGCCTCAACCTTCCAAGTAGCTGGGACTACAGGCACATGCCACCAGGCCTGGCTGATTTTTTTCTTTTTTGGTATGTTTAATAGAGAGGAGATTTCACCATTTTAGCCAGGATGGTCTCAACCTCCTGAACTTGTGATATGCCCACCTCATCCTCCCAAAGTGCTGGAGTTACAGGTGTGAGCCACTGTGATCAGCATAGACCATTCTTTTAACTTGCCTGTTTCTGGGATCTGAAGTGACAGAGTAGGCATTCTGTGATTCTGCTAATTCCTACCCTCTCCACAAAAACAAAAAAACAAACAAACAAAAACTCAGCTCACAAATATCCTTAGATAAGGACACCTTAGTGAATGATTCTATAACTTGGGATTGAATCTATGACACCTTTTTTGACTGTAGAACATAGAATAGCCATACACATAGGATAAAAGAACAGTTTTAATTTGAAGTTTTTTTTCTCCCCAAGCCAGCACAGTGTTGCATATGAAAAACATTTCCCTGGACTCACAGTTTCTTCAGATTGGAGAGAGTTGAAAGTGCACATTCAGGCTTTTCTTTTCCATTTTGCAATTCTTCACATGATGTTCTCTCTAGTCTTACCCAGTGGGTAACATCGAGGGTATCAGACAACTGGGGTCAGGTAGAAACAAACTACATGGATGGGGCTCACATTGACCATGAAAGTAATCTTACTGGTGGCTTTGCATTCCAGCCAGCAGAGGAGAACCACCAGAGAAACTAGGCAACAACATCATTCTGCAGCAACCAACCGTGGTTGATTGGTCTGCCAGGCTCAAATCATTGGCCAACTGCCAAATCCCACCCTGGCTTTCTCTGCAGAACTTCCCAGGCTGTGACAAAGAGGCAGCTTGGTAATTACCCACAGAATGTTCATGTGACCCCACCCAATCTAGGCTATCATACTTTTGACCATCTTAGCCCTGTGTGCTCCACCCATCCCCAGGCTGAATATCAGAGGCAGTTTAGGCAGTTTAGTGGTTAAGGATGAAGTTGCTGGCTCTAACTGGACCCAGAGGGCAAGTAGCTTATATAATAAGCCTTGTTACCTCTGGAAGGATGTTCACTTCTGATATATCTAATGGAAATCACTGGGGTGTTAGAATCTCTAGAGCACATGATTTTATTGAGAAACCGAGAATCCCAGTCTCAGTTCCAGCTCCTCCCTCTGCTGCTCAGAAACAACTACCATGCTGGGGAACTTGCCTGTCTGAGCCAATGAATGTAGTCTATCCAGGCTCTCTCCAGCAGAAAATGGATCTAGACTCTCCAGCCTTTGTTCCCTATTGGGAGAACCCACTCTCAGCTCTGGTTCTTCCCTATGTCAGGGAATTATAAGCTCTTTGAGAAACTTTCTGGGCAAATGCAACTTTCTTAGCCCAGACCAGGTTCTAAATGATCTGTTCAACAGCAATGTCAAGGGAGCTGATTTTCAGCCCCAGAGCCTCCTGCTGCAGGCAGAAAACTAGCCCATTTGTGCAGAGACCTTCCAGTAATCATCACAGCCAAAATTACAGCCATGCCATTCTCTGTTCCACAACAGAATCAAAGTGAACCCGGTCTCAGCTCCAGCCTGTCCAATTTCAATTTCTGAAATTGAATCATTACTAATAAATAACCTACCAGCCAAAAAAAAAAAAGCCAAGAAACTGACAGATTCAGGATGCATTCTACCATATATACAAAGAGCTGCATCATATTCCACTGTGTGGGTGATCCTAGATTGTTCAACTGGTTGTGAATGTATGCTTATACACACACACAAAACGCACACAACTAGGTTTCATGTTCTGTCAAAAAGCAGCAATGGAAATGCCATGCTGGTCTCTGGTATTATCTGAAGGCTCATTGGGAAGGACCCATTCCTTTGTTTGCATTACATTTTTGCCAGGAGCCTTGTCCACAATGGCAGTTTTTCAGTGGTTTCTTACAGCTCTGTAGATAACCTGCAATTATGTTTATTTACATGCTTTACAATATCTTCGTTAGTCTTTATCTCTAAACTTGAGGCTGGGTACAATGGCTAAAGTCTATAATTTCAGTACTTTAGGAAGTTGATGTTGGAGGATCCTCTGAGCCCAAAAGTGTTAGACTACAGTGATGTATAATTCAGACTGTTGACAGAGCAAGACCCTCACTCTAAGTAAATAAATAATAAAAATACAACTGATAGTAGTATTTTTGTTTTACCATTTGGAAATACAAATTTCCTTGATCAAATACATGAATATTTGATAGCCACTAACACAACACATTTGCTTGTGCATGGGAGCCGATGCAGGAAAGCAGAGGGATTGGATGCTCTTTTCTTCTTAATGCCTGAACGCGGGTACTATGGTGATAAGTGGTGAGTTTGGAACAGGAAGGCTTTCTGCCAGAGCCATCAAAGCTATGGGAATAAAACTCTCCACAAGTCAGGAAACAAAACAATCATTACTGGTAATAGTAAATGGAAAATCTTTTGCAGATTTGATTGCACTTTTAATTTAATATGGACTAGGCAGCATAATACAGACTACCCTGCCCCTAATAGTGTGCAATTTGATGACAAATGTCAATTGTGTTTGGTTGTTGGAAACTAGGTTTCAGCTCTTCCAAGAAGCTTAGTTACATGAGTAATTTTGACAATACTCATAGTTACTTGAGTATTGTCAAATATACACCAGCTTATTTTAACATTTCTGTTAGTCCACCAGAGACCTAAATATTATTAATATTATTTTAAACATAAAATATTAATGTAAACATAGTTCAAAATTCATGTGGATAATGAGTAAAATCATGTTTTTATTTTTATTCATTTCCTTTTGGTTTCATGCCTTTCATTCTCTTTTTCTCCCTCCCTTCTTCCCTCCCTCCCTTCTCCCTGTCTTTCTTTCCTTCTTTCCTTCTTTCTTTCCTTCTTTCTTTCTTTCTTTCTTTCTTTCTTTCTTTCTTTCTTTCTTTCTTTCTATCTTCTTTCTTTCTTTCTTTCTTTCTTTCTTTCTTTCTTTCTTTCTTTCTTTCTTCCTTTCCTCTATCTCTGTATCTCTGTTTAATATTTTTAGATGGAATCCTGCTCTGTTGCCTAGGCTGGAGTGCAGTGGCATGATCTCAGCTCACTGCAACCTTCCCATCCTGGGTTCCAGCAGTTCTCCAGTCACACCCTCCCGAGTAGCTATGACTGCAGGCATGTGACAACAATCTTAGCTTTTTTTTTTTTTTCTGCACTTTTAGTAAAGACCAGGTTTCACAATATTTGCTCAGGCTGGTCTCAAGCTCCTTTCCTCAAGCCATCCACCCACCTTAGCCTCTTAAAATGCTGGGATTTCAGTCATAAGCCACAATGCCCACCCAGTTTTATGTGTTTCTTTTCTCAGTGATCTCTCCTGTCTATTTTATTATTTTATTTCATTTTTATTTCTGAGACAGTGTCTTGGCTCTGGTGCCCAGGATGGAGTGCAGTGGTGTCATCTTACTTCACCGCAAACTCTGTCTCAGCGTTTCAGTGGATTCTCCTGCATCAGCCTCCCACATAGATGAGATTATATTCATGGGACACCAAGCCTGGCTAGCTTTGCTATGATATTAGACATGGGATCTTGCCATGTTGGCCAGGCTTATCACAAACTCCTGACATCAAGAGATCCACCCACCTTGGCTTGCCAAATTGCTGGGAGTGCAGGTGTGAGCCACCATGTCCTGCCTCATATCTGTTTTAAAGCTCAGTTGATAAGCAATATTGTGTTCCTGGAATGCTTTATGATTATGAAACCACTATAGCACTGTTATTTAGCCCCTTTGGATAAAATATGATAACACACAATACATACAGACACAGACACAGACACAGTCAGTGATTAAAGATCAGTGTAGGCCAGGACCTAAAATGATATATGAGTTGCTGCAGTTGACTAAAATTAAAGCAGACCAGAGTTGGCACATACCCAGAAAAGAGATGTGAACAGAGTCTTTCAAAGTACTCTGTCAGATACATGTTAGATTATTCTCCAGCCATAGCAAAGGGAAATTAAATATCTGTTGTGTTTAGAATAGTCTTGATTGTTTGACTTTTCCAAGGTATTAGCATTCATGAAGTTGGCCTTTAAAGCTCTCTAAAATTACTCAAATCAGTAGACAACTCAGTTTTTCTAGGAGTCTAAAGTGCTTTTCAAAATTATCAGAAAGTTAGTGGCTTCAAACAATAATTATAATTTATTAACTCTCAGTCTCTAAAATCTTCCACAGTCTCTCAGCCAAATGATTGTGGTTCAGGGGCACTCAGGAGGATACAATCTAGTGATGGCTCAGGATGGGGACATTGCCAGGTGTCTTCTTATTTCCCTGGTGCCATGGCTAGCATAACTCAAATAGTGGAGGTTGGGCTGCTGAGATCCTCAGGCATCTCCTTTTATTTCTATGAGTCTCTCCATGGGATGTCCATTCTGCATAGTGTTATCAGGGTGTTAGACTTCATGATGTACTGGTCTGGGGCTCCTGAGGGGTTTGTCCCCATGACAGCAGGAGACTTAGGCAGAGCTGTGTCACCTTTTCTAGCCTAGGCCAGAGGTGGCCCAATATCCAGAAAATGCTTTCACTGTTTTCTATTAATTAGAAGCAAGTACTGTGTTCTGTCACATCAGGAATATTTTCAAATTGGTTTGCAAAGAATTTCAAAGTGTGTTTTAGATCATTACAGTGGCCATGCCTAATAATTACTTATTTTTATAAGTGTTGGATGGGTTTTACCCAATGTAATATCAGATACAGACTTTTAAGCTTGAAACCTGTGTCATAGCTCTGAACATTTGGTTGTATGTTGAAATAACTCTCAAGCAAAAATTGATTTTGAAATTAGCACTATAAATAAGTTAAATAAATGAGGTAAAGTCATAAATATCTGCATGAAATGCTTATAAACAGGTCAGCCTTAAAAATGTCATGAAGACTAATATGCCACCCTTTTATTATTTCTATGGATATTACTTGGACTGGAGGACAAGGACTCAGGGGTATGCTGGTCAATCTCTGCACCTGGAAACAGTGGCTGGGGCACCAGGAGTAATACTTTGAGCCATGACCATGTAGTGAGGACAAGGAGTCCATCTGGGTTAAGGAGAGTGTCACTGTATATATATATATATATATATAAACACACACTATATATAAAAACACTATATATATAACACTATATATATATATAAAGCACAATATCAGAAACTCAGTAGTCATAGTGAAATCAAAAAATAATCACAGTCAATTTGATCTCATACCTAGACTGAAATATGAAACTTCAAAAGAAAAGAATGTTAAGAACTTTCGGCTTGTCAAAATTTTCCTACATAGATAAAATTATTGGTGACTTTCTCTCACTAGAGAACATAAACAAAAATCGATGTTTTGTATATGTGTAAATGAAAATATTTTTATTTCTATCAGTTATGACATGCAAGTAATAAAGTGAAAGTACAATAATAAATAATAAATTATATAAGGAAATTTCTGTGTCAAAAAATTTCATTGACTATTAATTTTATAAAACCATAGAGAATGCTTCATGAAACTACATTATACAGTACTTTTTAGTATTTCACTTACATTTTAAATAATCAACAAATTAAAGGAAATTCTGAATCATTATTTCTTACCAATATCATTATTCTACTCAAGAAATTCTTCTGATATTAAATATTTTAAATAAAACATTAAAAACAAATTGTATTCACTGATATCAGCTTTTGATGAAATAATACTTCTGTATTTGTAATCATGTTAAATATATCTTTCTCCTCACAGTGGATCTTTTGTAACACCAGTGTTATTATTTTCTCTGATACAAACCCTGTGATATCTCAAGGCTTTACTGTGTCCATACATTACATACCTCCAGAGAGTAGGATTCAAAGAGATGGAAAAATTATATTTGTGACCAAATTCTAGGAAAGGGAATGATAAAATGGGAGAATAATTTCTAAATTTCTAACTGTTCATCAATGGATTTGGATATATTTAGGTATAGACAAATATTTGCACACTGCAAGTTTGCACATGTGTATTTAAATTTATATGAGATACCCATAATGTATGGGTTGTGTAATCTCTTAATTAATTCTCAATTTTACATGTGGCAAATTGATAAGAGTTTACCCTCATCAAATACGCAATTTGAAGTACTATACTCCATTTGATGTAAAGCCAATAAAATCTCTGTCAACATTCATTTCAATTAATCCAATAATGTTAACTGCTGATAACTTCATTCTCCCTGTCCCCTGTTAACAGCTGAAAGTTGATTCTCACCTTAATTCAGCACTCAGGGTGTCTTCGTCAAGAGACTGTCACCTTGCTTTGGATTGTGACCTCTGACTCCACCACTTTCTTCCTGTAGCAGTCCTACCTTTGTGTATTTAATGAACTTTGTACATCGTTAAAAAATAAAAACGCAGTGAAATGTCAGGCCATGCTGTGAAATGTTCCAGTGTTTCTATATCTCAAATTGAACTTTCATGTTATAGAAGATAAGAAAAACAATTCATTTATTAGTATTCAGTCCAATGCACCCTTTCTTATTAATACGCCAAACCTGTCCCTTCAAAGCACTGACATTCAAGCACAGCTAGACGTATCAAAATTTATTCTCAACAATAACCATTATGTTAATAACTGTTGCCCAGATCTGGACCCTGCCTGTGGAATCTTTGGTTGGAAATTGCTATTATGGGTCAAACTAAGAGAATGACTATTTTTTGGCATAATTACTGCTGTCATCTTCCTGAAAAATATCACGTTAGATGGCAGCTTTTAGTTAGATCCATTCTATTAATTTTTAATATCCATCATTTATGATATTGCACAAGTAAAGACCTTTGATAACTTAAATTGTTAGCTGAGAAGTGACTAAAGTAACTCACAACAATTCAGACATTCATTTACCTACTAGAAATGCCATACATCATTAACTTCCGCTGAAAACAAAGTTGAAAAATTACAAGTGCTAAATTGTTTACTAAAGTATGTATTTCAGGGCAGCTAAATAATTGTGATGAGAGGCAGTCCCATCCACCAACAGCCCGATGAAAGAACCCTTCCACAATGAGAAGGTTGTGCAGATGAAATGAAACAGAGGCTGGATTACCAGGCAAAAGCCAGACATGGTTGCCTCTTTCTCATCCCACAGGAATCATGCAGCCATCCAATAAAAGTGGGAGAACAAGAGTTTCCTTGTTAGCAGCTATAGCTGGAATTTATAGTTTTAAAACTATCAAAGCTGCCCAGTCTTTAAAACTTGACAGTATTTTGAAGGAAACAATCACACAATGGATTCCCACGTAGGTCGTTCTTCATGGAGCAGAAAACGTTTAGTATGGAAAATGGTGAGCCACACCCAGAAAACCCTAGGCTGACAAGGAACACCAAAATCATGAAAAGAAGAGGGAAGTGTGGAGGCCACATCCCACCCAGCATCAGTCCATCCAACTCCCATTTGACTATGGGTATGAAATCCCTCAACTTGGGAGTTTGCCAGGATGGCCCAATTTTGCATCTGAAATGTTCCCTACATATTGGAGAACTCCCACATGAACACTGTGCCATGTTGTAAACTGCTTGAGAAATGAAAGAAATGCTGTGGTGCTGTTGGAAGCAACTTTTGTGTCAACTATCTTCACATTTTTTGCAGGTGAATGTGTGGGTCTCTTTCCACCCCTCATCAGATTGTATCCCAACCCCTATTTAACCTTGTTGTTGTTCACATTCTCTATCCCAAAATGAAACCACA
The DNA here is from genome assembly GCF_000001405.40 of Homo sapiens. Lineage (NCBI taxonomy): Eukaryota > Metazoa > Chordata > Mammalia > Primates > Hominidae > Homo > Homo sapiens. Next base: position 6,362,805 of record NC_000024.10, read on the forward strand.
AGATGATGAAAGAGTAACCCCTCATGACCTGAAGCACCTGCTAGGCTGGGAAATGAATTCGAAGTAAATTGAAGGTGGACATGACTATTAGTGTCTCTCTATGGGTTGGCCCCAGGACAATGAAACACTGGAAGATGTCTCTTTGTGTTTGTGGTGTGCTTCTCTTCTTTCTAGAAGAGTGGCTGTTTTACAGATGAGAGTAATTTGGATTCCGGCAGGTCTGAGCCAGCATCCCAATTCACTGCAGATTCAAACTCCACAAAATGATAAAGAAAAGGATGGACAGCAGCCCAAGCAGAGCCACAGACAGGCCAACAAAATGTTGGAAGACTGAAAAAAAAAAAAGTGCTGCAGTGCATTAGCCACATTGCTTTAAGCAGATTCTACTTATAGGTGCACACACACACACACACACACACACACACACACACAAAGCCACACACATACACAGACATTCAACATTCACATTACTTTCATAGAAACACACATCCTGGCAGCTTCTGAGGCTGCGTGGCTCTGCACGAAGCCCCATCTGGGAGATAGCAACTCCGGGCAACACAAATGGGCTGTACCTAGAAATCACAGTGGGGCAAATTTCAAAAAGACTCACCCTTACAATGTCTAGGCAGGTCTGATGCATCCTGCAAATCTTTTTGAATCGTTAGGAATTCCACAGTTTATTCCTGGGGCTCTGCTTGATGTTTCTTTAGGCAGGCTAATGTCTGTCCTCTCCTAGAACTATGGGAATATCCTGTGGACCCCACACAGAAGAAGGCAAGAATCCATGGTCTGTGCACCTCCACGAAGGGCTACTTCTCTACCTTATGGCAGGGACTTGTCGCTAGGCAATGGTGGCATTCATTGTGATGCTAGCCAGAGCTCACAGCTCAGGCCTGGTGCCCTGAGACTAGTGCATTGCATTGGTGAGGCAGGCTCTGGTGTCCTGTTGTCAGAGCTGTCAGCCTTCCTAAACAGAGGAAAATATTATAGGCAGTAGTGGCCTGATGTCAAAAAAAATGATGCCTCTGATAAACTCTGCAAAACTCTAAAAGTCTCAGCATTACCGCACCTTCAGGCAGTCTTTGTGGTCAGGTCCCACTGAACAAGGCAGTGTTTTGAGACTGTGAGGTGGTCCATGGAAACGATATTCAGACTCCATTCCTGAAAGAGGCTGTGTCAAAGAATCTTTGCCCATGGGGATTGGAATATAGTCTGATCAGAGGTTGAGGGGTCTTTGGATGATGGAATCATACCTGAGATTCCAGAGGTGGGTGTTAGGAAAAGATGGTCATGCCTTCGACCTTGATGCTTCCCTTCATTTTGGCCCTTGCAGTCCTGTCTCAGAAAGGTAGGAACCACAACACAGCAAGTCCAAGATGAAGCAGTGTTCTTACACCTCGGACTCTCTTCTCACAGGTGCAGAAGAGGTTCAGACAGTGTCTTCAAGGCCAACTGTGGTGATTACAAGCCTGAAAAGGCTGTCCAGTAGTGCTATTGAGAGGCACTGTGGATTCTCCATGAGAATAAAGATAAATCAAGGCTCAACTGCTAGAATGAGCTGCCTTGTGTTGGAGTCAAAGCAACATTCAAAGATTCCTGTCAGCACACAAAAAGCCTTCTCCAATTTGCAAAAAACCCAGCCTCCAAAAACAGACCTGACCCACAACCTGGAGTGCTGCCAGCCTACTCAAAATCCCTTTTGCTCCTTGAAATCTTTGGCAGTGAAAAGATCTGCGGTGAGAGGCAGTCTCATCCAGCAACAACCCAATGAATGTCACACACAGTGAGAAAGGATGTGCAGATGCAATAAAATATATTCTAGACTCCCACTCAAAAGCCAGTGGGGCTGCCTGTTTCTCATCCTATAGGAATTATGCAGCCCTCCAATGTAACTGGGTGAACAAGTTTCCTTGTTGACTGAAGTAATGGGAATTTATGGTTTTAAAAGTATCACAGCTGCCCAGTCATTAAAACATGACAGTGTTTAGAAGGAATCACTCTTGCAATGGATTCCCATGAGGGTTGTTTGCAATTAACTGAAAAATTTTAAGTATGGAAGACGTTGAGGCAGACCCAGGATACCCTAGGATGATGAGAAACATGGAAGTCAGAAAAAGAAAAGGGAAGTATGGAGTCCACCTGCCACCAAGCATCAACCCATCCCACTCCTATTTGGCTCTGGGTATGAAAGCCATAAAATCAGGGGTTTGCCAGCATGGCCCAGTTTGCATTCCAAATGTTCCCTTTGCATTTGAATACTCCCACCTGAATACTGGGCCATGTTGTGGACTAGTTGTACAGTTAAAGGAATGTGGGTATGCTGTTGGAAGCAAATTCTCTGTCAACTGTCTTCATGTGTTTTGCAGATGAAGGTGTGGGTCCTCATTCACCCCTCAGAAGATTGCATCCTCATCCCAATCTGATCTTATTTCTGCTCACACTCTGTCTGAGAATGAAATCCCAAGATGATGGAGGAATACCCGCTCAAGACCTGTAGCACCTGCTCAGCTGGGAATGGAATTCAAGGTAAATTCAATTGGCACTGCAGATAGGACTGCTAGTGTCTATCCCCGGATTGGCCTCATTACAATGAAACACTGGGAGATGTCTGCTTTTAGGTGTGATGTGCTCCTCTTCTTTCGAGAAGAGTGGCTGTTTTTATAGAGGGAAGTTGATTTGGTTTCTGGCAGGTCTTAGCCAGCCTCTCAATTTACTATGTATTCATAATCCACAAAAAAATAAAGAACACAGAGCCCCACAGCCCAAGCAGATGCACGGACAGGCTATCAAAAGGTTAAGAGAGCAAAAACAAACAAACAAAAAGAAGCACTTATGTGCATTAGCCACATTCCTTTAAGCAACCTCCATTTACAAGTGCACTCACACACACACACACACACACACACAATGCCAAACACACACACAGACATACAACACTCACAACACTCCCAAAGAAACACACAGCCCGGCAGCTTCTGAGGCTCTGAGGTTCTGTAGGAAGCACCATCTGTGAGAGAGCAACCCTGGAGAGCACAGTTGGGTTGCGTTCCAGACTCAACCCTACAACATCTAGGCAAGCATGAAAAATCCTGCAGGTCCTTTGGATTTTTAGGTATTTCGCGGTTTATTCCTTGGGCTCTGCTTGAGGTTTCTTAAGGTAGGCACACGTCTGCCCTCTCCTAGGATCATGGGATCATACTATGGACCCCACAGAGAAGACAGGCAAGAGTCCACTGCTGACACAACCTCCAAGGAGTTCTCCTTCTCAGCCAAGCCTTGGAGGCTTGTCTCTAGGCAGTAGTGCATTCATTGTGATACTAGCCAGAGCTCACAATCAGGCCTCATGCCCTAGGACTAGGGCGTACTCATTTGTGAGGAAGACTAAAGTGTCCAGCTGTCAGAGCTGTCAGCCTGCCTAGGCAGAGGAAAATGGTATAGGCAGAGCAAGCCCAGTACCAGAAAAAAAAGGCTACCTGTGAAACCTACTGTGGGACCTTAAAAGTCTCAACTTCCCAGGACCCCTTTTGTGCCATCTGTGATTGCTTCCTGCTGGAGAAGGAGGCATTTTAAGACTGTGAGTTTGTTGCTGGAAACTTCTACTCTAATTATATTCCCAAAAGAGGCTGTGTGCAAGAATCAAGTCCCATGGGATTTGGAATATAGCCTGGTGTGTTTTTTAGGGTTCTTTGGGTGATAGGATCATACCTGAGACCCCAGAGGCTGGCGTCAGTGAAAGATGGTTGTTCTCTTTACCACACTGTCTCTCTTCATCCTGGGCCTCACAGAGGCTCTCAGGGAAAGGCAGTAACCATGACAACGGCAAGACCAAGGTGGAGCTGTGTTCTCACACCTCTGATTGGCTTCTCACAGTTGCAGATGATGTTGAGTCAGTGTCTCAAAGGCCGTCTGTGGTGATAGCAATCCTGAAAAGGGTGTCCAGCAGTACCATCAAGAGCCACTGTAGATTCCTCATGAAAGCAAAGATAAATCAAGGCTCACTGAGAGAATGAGCTGCTTTGTCCTGGGGTCCAAACAATGTTCAGTGATTCCTGTCAGAGGACCCAAATCCCTTCTGCAAAGTGCAAACAACCTCAGGCCCCAAAACGAGACAATGACCCACCACCTGGAGCTCAGCCAGCTTTCCTGAGGTCCCTTGGCTCTCTGGGCTCTCTGAAATCCTGTCAGCTACATAATCTGTGGTGAGAGGCAGTCCCATCTAGCAGCAGCCCAATGAAAGAGCCCTTCCAAAATGAGAAAACCATGTAGATGAAATAAAACTGAGGCTAGATTACCAGGAAAAGCCAGACATGGCTGTCTGCTTCTCATCCTACAGGAGGAGGATCCACGTCTATCTGATAGACATGGGATAACAAGAGTTTCCTTGTTGGAGGCTCTAATGGGAATTTATGGCTTTAAAACTATCAAAGCTGCCTAGTCATTAAAACGTGACAGTGTTTAGAAGTAAATATCCATGCAACGGATTCTGATGAGGGTTATTCTTTGTGAAATGTGAAACGTTTCGTGTGAAAACTGTTGAACCAGACCCATTAAAACCTAGGCCAAGGAGAAAAATGGAAGTCCAGAAAAGAAGAGGCAAGTGTGGAGGCAACATCCCCACAGCATCAATCCATTTTGCTCCCATTTGGCTTTGGGTATGAAAGCCCCCAAATCAGGATTTTGCCAGAATAACACCAATTTACACACCAAATGATCCTTGCACATTGCAGTCTCCCAACCTGTACACCAGGCCACAGTGTGGACTGCTTGTGTAATTAAGGGAATGTGGGGATGGAGTGGAAAGCACCTTATGTGTCATCTGCCTTTATTTTTTTGCAGGTGAAGTTGTGGGTCTCCAACCACTCCTCACCAAATTGTAGCCTCACCCTTATATAACTTATTGCTGCTCACACTCTTATGTACGAGGATGAAATCCCAAGACTATGAAGGAGCACCTTATCGTGACATGAAGCACCTGCTAGGCTGGGAGCTGAATTCGTGGTAAATTCAAGGGGCGATGTGGACAGGACTGTTAGTGTCTCTTCCTGGGCTGGCAACTGGACAATGAAACACTGGGAGATATCTGTTTTTTCATGTGGTATACTCCTTTTCTTTCTCGAAGAGTGGCTTATTTATTTATTTATTTATTTATTTGCTGGGGGAGTTGATTTGGACATTGTTGGGTCTCAGCCTGGCTCCCAATTCACTGCAGATTGATAATCCACATAAGAATAAAAAACACTGAGCCCTGCAGCCCAAGCAGAACCACACAGAGAAACCACCAAAAGTTGGCTGACTCCAAAAAAAAAGAAGGGCTAAAATGCGTTAGCCAAATCCCTTTAAGCAGACTTCACTTACAGGTTCATATGCATACACACACAAACACACAATGCCACACACATGCAGACATTCAATACTCACAACACTCCCACAGAAACACACACCCCAGCTGCTCCTGAGGCTGTGTGGTTGTGCAGAAAGCCCCACTTTGGAGATTGCAACCCCAGGGAACAGAGGCAGGAGTAATTGAAAATCACAGTTGGGCAAGTTTCAAAAAGACTCACTTCTACAATGCCTACACAAGCCTGAGTAATCCTGCAGACCCTTTTGTATCCTTAGGAATTTCTCAGTTTATTTCTGAGGCTGTGCTTGATGTTTCTTCAGGCTAGCTCACGTCTGACTTCTCCTGGGATCAATAGACTATCCTGCGGTCCCACAGAAAAGACAGGCAAGAGCCTACGGTTGACACACCTCTACAAAAGTCTCGTCCTTCACCAAGCTGAAAGGACTTGTTACTAGGCAATGGTGACACTAATTGTGAAGCTAGCCAGAGCTCATAATCAGGCCTTTTGCCCTGAGACTAGCACATGCACATTCATGAGGCAGGCTTGAGTGACTGGCAGTCAGAGCTGTCAGCTTGCCTTAAGAGGGGAAAATGGTATAGGCAGAGCCGGCATGCTATTGGGAAAAAGGCTGCCTGTGAAAACACACTGCAGGACCATAAATGTCTCTACTTAAGGGCTCCCAAAGCCATCTCCATGGATGAGTACCACTGGAGGAGGAGACATTTTGAGAATGTGTGGTGGTCACTGGAAACTGCTCTTCTGACTCCATTCCTGAAAGAGGCTGTGTGCCAGAATCGGGTCCCATAAGTATTGGAATACAGTCAGGTGTGTTTTTGAGGGTTCCTTGGGTGATAGAATCATACCTGATACCACAGAGGTTGTTGTCTGTGAACGATGCCTGGGCTTTTGATGTCATTGCCTCCCTTCACCCTGGGACTTGCAGGGGCTCTTTGGGAAGGGCAGGAACTAAGACTAAGGCAAGTCCAAGGTGGAGCAGTCTTCTCCCACCTCAGACTGAACACTAGCGTGTGGAGATGAGGTTGAAACATTGTCTCAGGGGCCATCTGTGGCAATGGCAAGCCTGATAAGTGTGTCCAACAGTGCTGTTGAGGGGTACTGTGTCTTCCCCATGAGAGCAAAGATAAATCAAGCCTCACCTGAGACAATGAGCTGCCTTGTGCTGGCATCAGGCAATCTTCGATGATTCCTGTCAGAGGACCCAAAAGCCTCCTGCAAAGTGCAAACAACATCAGCCCCCATAACAAGACAACAACCCACAACCTGGAGCACAGTTGGCCTACCCAAAGTCCCTTTTGCTCTCTGAAATATTTGGCAACCCAATAATCTGTGATGAGAGGCAGTCTCATCCAACAACAGCCTAATAAAAGAGTCCCTCCACAATAAAAAGGCTGTGCAGATAAAATAAAACATAGGCAAGATGACCAGGCACAAGCCACAAACAGCTACCTGCTTCTCATCCTACAGGAATCATGCAGTTCTCGGATAGAAGTGAGAGAACAAGAGTATTCTTGCTGGTGACTGTAACAGGAATTTGTGGTTTTGCCCAGTCATTAAAACATGACACTGTTTAGAAGAAAATACTCACGTAGTGGATTCCAATGAGTGTCGTTCTCCATGAACTGGGAAATGCTTAGTGTGGAAGTCATTGAGCCAGATGCAGGAAACCCTAGGCCCGAAGAGAAACATGTAATTCAGGAAAACAAGAGTTAAGTGTGGAGGCCACATCCCACCCAGCATCAATTCATTCCACTCCCATTTGTTTCTGGGTATGAAAACACTCAAACTGGGAGTTTGCCAGGCTGGTCCCAATTTGCATTCCAAATGTTCCTTGCACATTGGAATACTCCCACATGAACACCCAGGAATAGTGTGGACTGCTTGTGCAATTTAGGGAATGTGGGGATGGAGTTGGAAACACATTCTGTGTCAGCTGTTTTCACTTTTTTTTTGCAGGTGAAATTTTGGGACCTCATCTACCTTTCACCAGATTATATCCTCACCTCTATCTGTCCTTACTGTTGCTCACACTTTATGTCCCAGAATGAAATCCCAAGGCAATGAAAGAGAGCCCCCTCACAACATGAAGGACCTGCTCAGCTGGGAACAGAATGGGAGGTAAATTCAAGGGGTAATGCTAAAGGGACTGCTAGTATCTCTTCCGTAGTTGGTTGCAGGACAATGAAACACTGGAGATGTCTGAATTTTGGTGTGGTGTGCTCCTCTTTTTTCTAGAAGAGTGGCTTTTTTTGCAACGGTCGGTGATTTGGACTCCAGCAAATATCAGCTTGCCTCCCAATTCACTGCAGAATCATGATGCACAGAAACATAAAGAACATCGAGCCCTGCAACTCAAGAAGAGCCACACAGACAGGCCACCAAAAGGTTGGGACACTCAAAAAAAAGAAGCACTGAAGTGCATTAGCCACATTCCTTTAAGCAGACTTTATTACATACATGTGCACACACACACACACCATGTCACAGACACACACAGACATCCAACAATAGCAACACTCCTACAGAAACACAGTCTGGCAGCACCTGTGGCTGCATGATTCTGCAGGAAGCTGCACCTTGGAGAGAGCAAACCCATAGAACACAGGCAGGCTGTACCGAGAAATCACAGTGGGGCAAGTTTCAAAATGACTCACTACTACAACCTGTAGGCAGGTCTGAGGAAACCTAAGATTCCTTTGGATTTTTAGGGATTTTCAGGTTTATTCATGGGTCTTTGCTTGACATTTCTTTAGGCTGGTTAACCTCTGCCCTCTACTAGGATCAGGGGACTATTCTGTGAATCCCACAGGGAAGAAAGATGACAGTCAACGGCTGCAGCACCTCCACAAAGTCTCCTTCTCTGCCAAGGCCCAGGGATGTGTCTCTAGGCAATGGTGACATTCATTGTAATGCAAGCCAGAGCTCACAATCAGGCCTAATGCCTGAGACTAGTGCCTGTGCATTCATGAGCCAGGACCAGGTGCCCAGCTGTCAAAGCTGTCAACCTGCCTAAACAGAGAAAAATCATATAGGCAGAGCCAGCATTGTATTGGGAAAAAGGCTGCATGCAACATCTCACTGTGGTACCCTAAAAGTCTGGACCTCAGAGCCCCTTCATGCCTTCTCTGATGTGGGATCCCACTAGAGAAGGAGGAGTTTCAAGACTGTGATGTGAGGTGGTTCCTGGAAACTGCTCTCCTGACTCCATTTCTGAAATAGGCTATGTGCAAGAATCAGGCCCCAGGGGCATTGCAATATAGTCTGGTTTGTTGTTGAGGGTTCTTTAAGTGATAGAGACATACCTGAAACCCCAGAGGTGGGTGTCAGTGAATGATGGTTGGGCTCTTTATCTAACTGCCTCCCTTCATCCTGGGTCTTACAGGGGATCTCTGCACAGGGCCAGAACAAAGGCAAGCCCAAAACGAAGCAGTGTTCTCACATCTCAGACTGGCTTCTCATGCATGCAGATATGGGTGAGAAAGTGTCTCAGATGCCTTCTGTGGTGAGGCCAAGCCTGAAAAACCTGTCCAGTAGTGCTATTGAGGGGCACTGTGGATTCCCCTCGAAAGCAAAGAAAAATCAAGGCTTGCCTTAAAGAATGAGGTGCCCTGTGCTGGAGTCTCTGCACTGTTCAGTGATTCCTGTCAGAGGACTCAAAAGCCTACTGCAAAGTGCAAACAACCTGAGCCCAACAGTGAGACAACAACCCACAACATGGAGCACAGTCAGCCTACCTGAAGTCCCTTTTGCTCTCTGAAATCCCTGGAAGCTTAATAATTTGTGGCAAGAGGCCATATCATCCAGCAATAGCCCAATGAAAGAGCTCTTTTACAATGTGAAGGCTGTGCAGATAAAATGGAAGATAAGTTAGATTACCAGGCATAAGCCAGACACGGCTGCCTGATTCATATCCTATAGGAATCATGCAGCCCTCCTATAGAAGTGGGAGAACAAGAGTTTTCCTGTTGGTAGACATTAATGGGAATTTACAGTGTTAAAAGTATGAAACTGTCCAGTCATTAAAAGCTGACATTGTTTAGAAGGAAACACTAACTCAATGGATTCCCATGAGGGTTGTTCTTTGTCAACTGGGAAATATCTAGTGTGGAAGTCATTAAGCCAGACCCAGGAAACCCTAGGCCAATGAGGAACACGGAATTCAAAAAAGAAGAGGCAAGTGAGGAGGCCACAGCCCACCCAACATCAATCAATTCCACTCCCTTTTGGATACAGGAATGAAAGAACTCAAATAGGGAGTAGACCAGGATGGCCCCAATTTGCACTGCAAATTTTTTTTGCACATCAGAGTACTTCAACCTGAACGCTGAGCCACAGTGTGGACTGCTTGTTCAATTCAGGGAAGGCAGGTATGGAGTTGGAAGCACCTTCTGTGGCATCTGTCTTCATTTTATCTTCAGGTGGAGTTGCAGGACAAGTCCACCCCTCACAAGATTTTATGCTAACCCTTATCTGACATTATTGCTGCTCACACTTTATGTTTCAGCATAAAATCCCAAGACGATGGAGAAGTGCACTCTCATGACATAAAACACCTGCTCAGCTGGGAACCGAACTGGTGTTCAATTCAAGGGCACCTCTGGACAGGACTGCAAGTATCCATAGTTTGGCCTCAGCACAATGAAAAATTGGGAGATGCCTGTTTTTTGGTGTGGTGTGCTCCTCTTCTTTCTGGAAGAGTGAATTTTTTTTTTTTGCAGGCAGAGATAGTATGGACACCACCACATCTTGCAAGCCTTCCAATTCACTGCAGATACATAATCCACAGAAAAAAAAAAAAGCATGGAGCCCCGCAGTCCAAGCAGAGCCACACAGACAAGTCACTGAAAAACTGGGAGACTCATAAAAAAGAAGGGCTCAAGTGCATTAGCCTCATTTCTTTAAGCACACTCCACTTACAGGCACACACACACACAAACACACCATGTCACACACACACAAAGACATTTAACAGTTGCAACATTCCCACAGAAAGAAACAGCCCAGCAGCTCTTGAGGTTGCATGGTTTTTCAGAAAGCCACACCTGTGAGAGAGCAACCCTGGGGAACATAGGCAGGCTATACCTAGAAATCACAAAGGGGCAGCTTTCAAAAAGACACCCCACAATGTATAGGCAGGCCTGACAAATCCTGAAGATAGTTTTGTATCCTTAGGGATTCCATGGTTTATTTTTGGTGCTGGGCTTCGTGCTTCTTCAGACTGCCTCACTTCTGTTCTCTTCTAGCATCATGGGAGTATCACATGAATTCCAGAGAAGATAGGCAAAAGTCCTTCCCTGATGCACCTCCATGGAAGACTCCCTCTCTGCCAAGACACAGGTACTTGTCACAAGGCAACTGTGACATTCATTGTGATGCTAGCCAAATCTCACAATGATTCCTGCTACTCTGAGACTAGCCCATGCACATTCATGTGGCAGGCTCAGGCACTGGGCTGTCAAAGCTGTCAGCCTGCCTAAGCAGAGAAAAACGCTACAGGCAGAGCCAGCCTGGTATCGGGAAAAAGGCTACCTGCCAAAACCCACTGCAGGACCTTGACTGTATCAACCTCAACACCCCTTTGGGCCATCTCCGTGGTCAGGTCCCATTGGAGGAGGAGGTGTTTCAAGACTGTGAGGTGGTCACTGCAAACTTCTCTTCTGATTCCATTCCTGAAAGAGGCTCTGTGCAAGAATTGAAACCCAAAGAGATTGGAATATAGTCTGATGTGTTGTTGACTGTTCTTTGAATGATAGAATCATACCTGAGACCCCAGAGGTCAGTGTCATTGAAAGACAGATGAGATCTTGACCTCACTGTCTCCCTTAATCCTAGGCATCACAGGGCCTCTCTGGGAAAGGCAGGAACCACGACAAAGTCAACTCTAAGGTGAGGTTGACACCGGGTCTCAGGGGCTCTGTGTGGTGATGGTAAGCCTGAAAATGGTGTCCTGCATTGCTGCTGAGGGGCACTGTTTATTCCCCATGAAAGCAGAGAAAAATCAATGCCTGCCTGAGAGAAAGAGTAGCCTTGTGTTGGAGTCCAAGCAATGTTTAATGATTCCTCTCAGAAGAACCAAAACCCTCCTGCAAAGTGCAAACAACCTAAGCCCCAGAAACGAGACAACGACTCATAACATGAAGTGCAGTTAGCCTACATGGCCATAGTCCCTTTTGCTCTCTGAAATCACTGGCAGCTACATAATGTGTAGCAAGAGGAAGTCTCATCCAGCAACAGTTCAATGAAAAAACCTCTCCAAAATGAGAAGGCTGTACAGATGAAACGAAACAGAGTATAGATTACCAGGTAAAAGCGTGACATGGCAGTCTACTTCTCATCCTACAGGAATCCCTCTGATAGATGTGAGAGAACAAGTGTTTTGTTTTTGTTTTGAGTACTCTCACTTGAACACTGAGCCATGGTGTGGACTGCTTGTTCGATTAAGGGAATGCAGGGATGGATTTAGAAGCACCAACTGTGACATCTGTGTTATTTATTTTATTTTATTTTTTGCAGGTGAAATTGTGGGACCCCATCCATGCCTCACCAGAGTGTATCACCACCCCATCTGACCCTATTCCTGCTCATACTCTATGTCCCAGGATGAAATCCCAAAATGATGGAGGAGTGCCTCCTCATGACATGAAGCACCTGCTCGGCTGGGATCCGAATTTGAGGTAAATTCGAGGGGCCATGTTTACAGGACTGCTTGTGTTGGGCCACCCTGTGTTGGCCACAAAACTGTGAAACACTGGAAGATGTCTGTTTTTTGGTGTGGTGTTCTCCACTTCTCTGAAGAACGGTGGCTTCTTTTTGCAGAGGGAGTTGATTTGGACACCAGCGATTCCAGGTCCATCTCTCAATTCACTGCAGATTCATGATCCACATAAAAATAAAGAACATGGAGACCTGAAGCCTAAGCAGAGCCACATAGGCAGGCCACCAAAAGATGGGGAGACAGAAGAAAAAAAAGCACTGAAGTGCATTAGCTGCATTCCTTTAAGGAGACTCCACTTAAAGGCACACACACACATGCACACAAAAGGACATAAACACACAATGCCTCACACACACGCACATATCCAAAATTCACAATGCTGCCACAGAAACACATGGCCCAGCAGCTCCTGATCCTGTATGGTTCTGCAGGATGCCACACCAGGGAGAGAGCAACCCTAGGGACACAGGTGGGCTGTACCTAGAAACCATAGTAGGGCAAGTTTCAAAAAGTCTCACACCTACAATGTCTAGACAGGCCTAAGGAATCCTGCAGACCTTGGATGCTTAGGAATTTTGCAGTTTATTCCTGGGGCTCTGCTTGACATTTCTTCAAGCTGGCTCATGTCTGCTCTTTTCCATGACAAGGGGACAATCCTGTGGATCCCATAGAGAAGACAGGTGAGAATCCATAGCTGATGCACCCTCACAGAGGTCTCTATCTCCACCAAGCTGCAGGAACTTGTCGCTAGGCAATGGTGAGATTCATTGTGAGGGTACCCAAAGCTCACAATCAGGATAGGTGCCCTGAGGCTAACACATGTGCATTCATGAGGTGGACTAGGGCCCTTGGCTGTCAGAGCTGTCAGCCTTCCCAAACAGAGGAAAATGGTACAGGCAGAGCTGGCCAAGTATCACAAAACAGGCTGTCTGTGAAAAACCACTGCAGGACACTAAAAGTCTAGACCTCAGAGACTCTTCCAGCCTTCTCCACTTCTCCATGGTCAGGTCCTGCTGGAGAAGGAGGCATTTGGAGACTGTGAGGTGGTTGCTGGAAACTGCTCTTGTGACTCCAGTCCCAAAAGAGGCTGTGTGCAAGTATCAGGTTCCATGTTGATTGGAGTATATTCTGGTGTCTTGTAGAGGGTTCTTTGGGTCATAGAATCATACGTGAGTCACAGGGATGAAATTCAGGGGGACTTACAGACAGGACTGCTAGTGTCTCCCCCTGGTTTGGCCACAGGACAATGAAACACTGAGAGATGTCTGTTTTTTTTTTGGTGTAGAGTCCTCCTGTTCTTTCTAGAAGAGTGGCTTTTTTTTTTTTGGCAGAAGGAGGTGATTTAAACAATGGCAGGTCTTGGGCCACCTCCCAATTTACAGAGGATTCATGATCCACAGAAAAACTAACAAACAAGGAGCCCTGCAGCCCAAGCACAGCCACACAGACAGGCCACCTAAAAGTTTGGTGACTCAAAGAAAGAAGCAATGAAGTGCATTAGCTACATTCATTTAAGCAGAATCCACTTACAGGGACACACATACACATACACAAACACACAATGCCACACACACACACACACACTCAGACATCCAACACCTGCAACACTCTCACAGAAACACAGACCTGCAACTCCTGAGGCTGCCTGGTTCTGCAGGAAGCCCCACTGAAGAGAGAGCCACCCCTGGGAACACAGGTAGGCTGTACCTGGAAATCAGACCGGGGCAAGTTTCAAAAAGACTCACATCTACAACCTTTAGGCAGGCCAGAGGAATCTTGCAGATTTTTTGTATCCTTAACAATTTCACAATTTATTCCTGGGGTTGTGCCTGACATTTCTTCAGGCAAGCTCATGTCTGACCTCTCTTGGGATCATGGAACTATCCCATCTATCCCAAAGAGAAGATAGATGTGAGTCCACAGCCTATGCAACTCAACGGAGGTCTTCTTATCCTTCAAGCTGCAGGGACTTGGCGCTAGGCAACAATGACATTCATTCTGGTACTACCCAGGGCCCACAATCAGGCCTGGTGCTGTGAGACTAGTGCATGTACATTCTTGAGGCAGGTTCTGGTGCCAGGCTGTCAGAGCTGTCAGCCTGCCTAATCAGTTGGAAATAGTACAGGCAGAGCCACCCTGTTATCAAGAAAAAGGGGGCCCGCAAAAACCCACTGTGGGACACTAAATGTCTCAACCCCAAGACCACTTCAGGCCGTTTCCATGGTTGGATCTCTCTGACGGAGAAAACGTTTTGAGACTCTGAGGTGGTCACTGGAAACTGTTTTTCTGACTTCATTCCCAAAAGAAGCTGTGTGCAAGAATCAGATACCATGAGGATTGGAATACAGTATGGTGTGTAGTTGAGGGTTCTTAGGGTGATAGAATCATACCTGAGACCATAGATGCAGATGTCAGTGAAGGATGGCCGGACTCTTGACCTCACTGTCTCCCTTTATCCTTGGCCTCACAGAGGCTCTCTGGGAAAGGCAGGAACCAAGATGAAGGAAAGTCCAAGGTGAAACAGTGTTCTCACACCTCGTATTGTCCTGTAACAAGTGCAGATGATGTTTAGACGGTTCTCAGATGCCATCTGTAGAGATGGCAAGCCTGAAAATGGTGTCCATTAGTTCTGTTGAGGAGAACTGTGGATTCCTTGTGAAAGAAAAGAAAAATCAACACTCACCCAAAAGAACAAGATGCCTTGTCCTGGAGTCCAAGCAATGTTCAATTATTCCTTTCAGAAGACCCAAAAGCCTTCTGCAAAGTGCAAACAACCTCAGCCCCCACATTGAGACAATGACCCACAACCTGGAGCACAGACAGCCTAATGGAAGTCCCTTTTGCTCTCTGGAATCCCTGGCAGCTACATAATCTGTGGTGAGAGGCAGTACCACCAAGCAACAGTTTAATGAAATTGCCCTTCAAAATTGAGAAGGCCATGCAGATGAAATGAAACAGAGTCTAGATTACCAGGTAAAAGTCTAACACAACTGCCTGCTTCTCATCCTACAGGATTCATGCAGCCCTTCGATAGAAAAGAGATAACAAGTTTGCTTTTGGCTGATGTGACAGGGATATATGGATTTAAAAGTATCTTATTTTCCCAGTCATTAAAACATGACAGTGTTTAGAAGGAATTATGCAATGGATTTCCATGAGGGTCATTATCTGTGAACTGGGAAATGTTTAGTGTAGAAGTCGTTAAGCCAGAACTAGGAAACCCTAGGGCCATGAGAATCATGAAAGGCCTGAAAAGAAGAGGCAAGACTGGAAACACCATCCCACCCAGCATCAATCCATCCCACTCCCATTTGGCTCTGAGTATGAAAGGTCTCAAATCGGAAGTTTGCCAGGATGGCCCCAATTTGCACTTCAAATGTTACTTGAGCGTTGGAGTACTGCTACCTGAAAGCCGAGCCATGATGTGGACTGCTTCTGCAATTCAGGGAATGCAGGGATAGAGTTGGAAGCACCTTCTGTATTATCAGTGTTTTTTATTATTATTATTATTTGCAGGTGAAGTTGAGAGACCCCTTCCACCTCACACCAGATTGTATCCTCATGTCTATCTAACCTTACTACTCATCACACTCTATGTCCCCAGATAAAATTCCAAGATGACGGAGGACTGCCACCTCATGACGTGAAACACCTGCTCCTCTGGGAACCAAATTTTAGGTAAATTCAAGGTGCACTGCCCACAGGACTGCTTGTGCCTCTCCCTGTGTTGACCATAGGGATATGAAACACAGGGTGATGCCTGCTTTTTTGATGTGGTGTGCTCCTCTTATTTCTTTTTTTTTTTATTATACTTTAAGTTTTAGGGTACATGTGCACAATGTGCAGGTTAGTTACATGTGTATACACGTGCCATGCTGGTGTGCTGCACCCATTAACTCGTCATTTAGCATTAGGTATATCTCCTAATGTTATCCCTCCACCTCCCCCCACCCCACAATATTCCCCAGAGTGTGATACTCCCCTTCCTGTGTCCATGTGTTCTTATTGTTCAATTCCCGCCTATGAGTGAGAACATGCGGTGTTTGGTTTTCTGTCCTTGCAATATTTTACTGAGAATAATGATTTCCAGTTTCATCCATGTCCCTACAAAGGACATGAACTCATCATTTTTTTTTCTTTTTTTGAGACGGAGTCTCGCTCTGTTGCCCAGGCTGGAGTGCAGTGGAGCGATCTTGGCTCACTGCAAGCTCCATCTCCTGGGTTCATGCCATTCTTCTGCCTCAGCCTCCTGAGTAGCTGGGACTGCAGGTGCCCACCACCACGCCTGGCTAATTTTTTTTGTATTTTTTAGTGGAGACGGGGTTTCACCGTCTTAGGCAGGATGGTCTTGATATCCTGACCTCATGATCCACCTGCCTCGGCCTCCCAAAGTGCTGGGATTACAGGTGTGAGCCACAGCATTTTTTATGGCTGCATAGCATTCCGTGGTGTATATGTGACAGATTTTCTTTATCCAGTCTATCATTGTTGGACATTTGGGTTGGTTCCAAGTATTTGCTATTGCGAATAGTGCTGCAATAAACATACGTGTGCACAAAAATTAATTCAAGATGGATTAAAGACTTAAACATTAGACCTAAAACCATAAAAACCCTAGAAGAAAACCTAGGCATTACCATTCAGGACATAGGCATGGGCAAGGACTTCAAGTCTAAAACACCAAAAGCAATGGCAACAAAAGCCAAAATTGACAAATGAGATCTAATTAAACTAAAGAACTTCTGCACAGCAAAAGAAACTACAATCAGAGTGAACTGGCAACCTATAAAATGGGAGAAAATTTTTGCAACCTACTCATCTGACAAAGGGCTCCCCTTATTTGTAAAACAGTGACTTTTTTTGCAGAGGTGGTTGATTTGGATGCCGGCGGTTCCCAGCCCACCTCCAAATTCACTGGGGATTTATTATACACATAAAAATAAAGAACATGGAGCCTTGCCATCCATGCAGAGCCACATAGACCACCAAAAGGTGGAGAGACACAATAAAAAGAAGCACTGGAGTGCGTTAGCCACATTCCTTTAAGCAGACTCCACTTACAGGAACACACACACACACAAAGACAGAAACACACAATACCTCACACATCAAACATTCACAACATTCTCACAGAAACACTTCACCTGGCGTCTCCTGACACTGTGTGGTTCTGCAGGAAGACCCACCTGGGAAAGAACAACCCTGAGAAACACAGGCAGGCAGTCCCTAGAAATCACAGTAGGACAATTTTCAAAAAGACTTACTCCTACAACGTCTAGTGAGGCCTGAGGAATCCTGCAGATTTTCTTGGATCCATAGGGATTTTGCATTTTATTCCTAGGGTTCTGCTTGATGTTTCTTCATGCTGGCTCATGTCTGGCCTTTCCTAGGACAATGAAATAATCCAGTGGATCCCACCTAGAAGACAGGTGAGAGTCCACTGCTGACCCATCTCCACGGAGGTCTCTATGTCTGCAAAGCCACAGGGACTTTTTGCTAGGCAATGATGACATTCATTGTGACACTAGTGAGAGCTCATCATCAGGCCAGGTGCTCTGAGACTAGCACATGCACATTTGTGAGGCAGGCTATGGCCCCTGGCTGTCATATTGGTCAGCCTGCCTAAGCAGAGGAAATTGGCACAGTCAGATCTGGCCGAATGTCGCGAAATAGGCTGCCTATGAAAACCCACTGTGGGACACTAAAATCTAGACCTCAGGTCCCCTTCAGATCATCTCCATGATCAGGCCCCTATGGAGGAGGAGATGTTTTGAGGCTATGAGTTTGTCACTAGAAACTGCTTTTCTGACTCCATTCCAGAAAGAGGCTGTGTGCAAGAATCGGGTCCCTTGTGGATTGAAATACAGTTTGTTGTATTGTAGAGGGTTCTTTGGGTGATAGAATCATACCTGAGACCCCAGAGGTGGGTTTCAGCAAATGATGGCTGGGCTCTTGACCTCAATGCCTTCCTTGATCCTGGACTTCACAGGGGCTATCTGAAAAAAGCAGAAACCAAGACAAATGCAAGTCCAATGTGGAGCAGTGATCTCACAAGTTAAACTGGCCTTTTACAGATGCAAATGAGCGTGAGTGTCTCAGAGTCCATTTGTGACCGTGGCAAGCCTGAAAAGCATGTCCAATAGTACTGTTGAGGAGTACTGTGGATTCCCCATGAAAGCAAACAAAACTCAAGACTCACCTGACAGAATGAGGTACGTTTTTCTGTAGTCCAAGCAATGTTCAATGATTACTGTTACAGGACCCAAAATTATCTTGCAAAGTTAAAACCACCACAGCCCCTACAAGGAGAAAATGACCCATAACCTGGAATGCAGCCAGCCTACACAGAGTCTCTTTTGCTTTCTGAAATTCCTGACAGCTAAATAATCTGTTGCTGGAGGCAGTCCTATCGAGCAACATCTCAATGAAAGAGCTCCTCCACAATGAGATGGCCATGCAGATGCAGTGATACAGAGGCTAGATTACCAGAAAAAAAGTGAGACATGGCTGCCTTCTTCTCATCCTCCAAGAATCATGCAGCCCTTCAATAGAAATGGGAGACAAAGTTTCATTGTTTGTGGGTCTAATGGGTATTAACAGTTTTAAAAGTAACAAAACTGCCCAGTCATTAAAATATGACAGTGTTTACAAGGAAACACTCAGGCAATGGATTCCCTTGAGGGTCGTTCCACATTAACTGGATAACATTTATTGTGGAAGTCATTGAGCCAGAACCAGAAAACCCTAGGATGATAAGAATCATGAAAATCAGGAAAAGAAGAGGCAAGTCTGTAGGCCACATCCCGCCAAGCCTCAATCCCTTCAACTCCCATTTGGCTATGGGTATGAAAGCCCTCAAATCGGGAGTTTGCCAGGATGGCCCCAGTTTGCACTCCTAATATCCACAGCATGTTGGAGCACTCTCACCTGGACCCCTGGCCATGGTGTGGACTGCTTCTGCAATTAAGGATTTACCGGGATGGAATTGAAAGCACCTTCTGTGTTACCTGTCTTCATTTGTTTTGCAGGTGAAGTTTGGGATTCCATCCACCCCTCACCAGATTTTATCCTCACCCTTATCTGAACTTATTCCTTCTCACACTCTATGTCCCAGGATTAAATCTCAAGATGATGAAGGAATACCCCCTCATGACATGAAGCACCTGCTCATCTGGGAAGCTAATTCAATGTAAATTCAAGGGGACCTAAGAACAGGACTGCTAGTGTCTCCATGGTTAGGCTGCAGGACAATGAAACACTAGATGTCATTTTTTTTTTTGGTGTGGTGTGCTTCTCTTCTTTCTAGAAGAATGGCTTTCTTTTTTTTTCTCTCCTTTTTTTTTTTCTTTTTTTGCAGAGGGACATGATTTAAACTATGGCAGGTATCAGCCCACCTCCCAATTCACTGTGGATTCATGATCCACAGAAAAATAGAAAACCTGGACCCCGCAGTCCAAGCAAAGCCACACAGACAGGGCACATAAAGGTTTGGTGACTCAAAAAAAAGAAGCAATGAAGTGCATTATCCACAGTCATTTAAGCAGACTCCACTTACAGGCACACACACATACACACACACACAAAACCACACAATGTCTCACACACACACACACAGACATCCAACATTTACAACACTCCCACAGAAACACACAGCGTGGGAACTCCTAAGGCTGCCTGGTACTGCAGGACATTTGAGTGTGGGAGAGAGCCCCTCTCCCCGCCCCGCCCTGGGGAACACAGGCGTGATGTACCTATAAATCACAGTGGGGCAAGTTTCAAAATGACTCACAACTACAATGCCTAGGCAGGCTTGAAGAATCCTACAGATTTCTTTGCATCCTTTGGGATTTCAGAATTTATTTCTGGAATTGTGCTTGATGTTTCTACAGACTCTCACATCTGCCCTCTCTTGGGATCATGGGACTGTCCTGTCTGTCTTACAGAGAAGACAAGTGGGAGTCCATGGGCAACAAAACTGTATAGAGGTGCCCTTCTTCTCCAATTCACAGGGACTTGGCATTAGGCAACAATGACATTAATTGTCACTCTACTGAAAGGTCACAGTCAGGCCTGGTGCTGTGAGACTAGCGCATGCACATTTGTGAGGCAGGCTCCGCCATCAGTCAGTCTGAGCTGTCAGCCTGCCTATGCAGTAAAAAATGGTACAGGCAGGGCAAGCCTGGTATCAAGAAAAAGGCAGCCTGGAAAAACCCAGAGCAGGACACTAAAATTCTCAAACTCAGGGCGCCTTTAGACAGTTTTTGTGGTTGGGTCTTGCTGGAGGAGGAAGGGTTTTGAGACTCTGAGGTGGTCACAGCAAACTGTTCTTCTGACTTCATTCCCAAAAGATGTTCTTTGCGACAGTCTGGTACCATAGGGATTGCAATATAGTATGGTGTGTTAAGGGTTCTTTGTTGATAGAATCATACCTAAGACCCTAAGGGCAGAGGTCAGTGAAAGATGGCTGGGTTCTTGACCTCACAGCTTCCCTTAATGCTGTGCCTCACAGAGGCTTTCTGGGAAATACAGGAAGCAACACAAAGGCAAATCCAATATGAAGCAATGGTCTCACATCCGTATTGTCACCTCTTGGGTGCAGATAAGGTTTAGACAGTGTCTCAGACACCATCTGCAGTCATGGCAAGCCTGAAAAGGGTGTCCAAAAAAAAGTCTCACCTGAGAGAACAAGCTTCCTTGTGCTGGAATCCAAGCAATGTTCAATGATTCCTGTCAGGAGACCCAAAACACCCTACAAAGTGCAAACAACCTCAGCCCCCACAATGAGACAACGACCCACAATGTGGAGTGCAGGCAGCCTATTGAAAGTCATTTTGCTGTCTGAAATCACTGGCAGATTCATAATCTGTGGTGAAAGGCAGTTCCATCCAGCAACAGTTCAATGAAAGTGCCCGTCCAAAATAAGAAAGTTGTGCAGATGATGAAACAGACTCTAGATTACCAGGAAAAACTTGACACACAAGCCTGCTTCTCATCCTACAGGAGTCATGGGCCCCTCCAATAGATGTGAGAGAACAAGTTTTCTTTTGGCAGCTGTAACATCAATATATATTTTTAAAAGTATCAAATCTTCCCAGTCCTTAGTACATGACGCTGTTTAGAAGGAAACATTCACACAATGGATTCCCATGAGAGTCATTCTCCATGAACTGGGAAACATTTAGTGTGGTAGTCACTAGGCCAGACCCAGGAAACCCTAAAACAATGAGAATCATGGAAGTCATGAAACAAAGAGGCATGTCTGGAAGCCCCATCCAACCAGCATCAATCCATTCCACCCACATTTGACTTTGGGTATTAAAGCCCACAAATCGGCAGTTTGCCAGGATGGTCCCAATTTGCACTCCAAATGTTCCTTGCACATTGGAATACTCATACCTGAACACTGAGCCATTGTCTGGACTGCTTTTGCAATTAAGGTAAAGCAGGCATGGAGTTGGAAGAAACTTCTTTGTCATCTGTCTTTATTCTTTTTTTGCAGGTAAAGTTGTGGGACCCCATCCACTTTTCACCACATTGTATTCTCACCCCATCTGACTTTATTGCTGCTCACACTCTATATCCCAGGATAAAATCACAAGACAATGGAGGTGTGCCTCCTTAGGACTTGAAGCACCTGCTCAATTCAGAACAGAATTTGAGGTAAAATTAAGGGGCCCTGCCGACAGAACTGCTAGTGTCTTTTCCTGTGTTGGCCATAGGAATATGAAACACAGGGAGATGTCTATCTTTTGGTGTGGTGTGCTTTTCTTTTTTTCTAGAACAGTGGCTTTTCTTGCAGAGGGAGTTGTTTTGGACACCAGCAGTTCCCTGCCCACATACCAATTCACTGTGGATTTTGGATCCACATAATAATAAAGAACACGGTGCCCCACTGCCCAAGCAGAAACACACAGACAGGTGACCATAAGGTGGGGAGACTTAAAAAAAAGCGCTGAAGTGCATTAGCCACATTTCTTTAAGATAACTCCACTTACATTCATACACACATAGACAGCCAGAAACACACCATGCCTCACATGCACACATATCCGATATTCCCAACACTTTCACAGAAACACACAACCCAGCAGTGCCTGACACTATGTCGTTCTTCAGGAAGCCTTACCTGGGAGACAGCAACCTTGAAAAACCCTGGTGGGCTGTACCAAGAAGTCACAGCAGAACAAGTTTCAAAAAGACTCACCCCTACAATGTCTAGGCCAGCCTGAGGAATCCTGCAGGTCATCTTGGAAACTTAGGGATTTTGCAATTTATTCCTGGGGCTCTGTTTGATGTTTCTTGAGGTTGGCTCAAGTCTGCCCTCTCCTAGGATCATGGAACAATCCCACAGAGGAGACAGTTGAGTCAACTGCTGATGCACCTCCTCAGAGGTCTCCTTCTCAACCAAGCTGCAGGGACTTTTCTCTAGGCAATGATAACATTCATTGTGATGGTAGCCAACTCTCACAATCAGGCCTGGTCCCCTCAAACTAGTGCATGCATATCTGTAGGCAACATCTTGTTCCAGGCTGTCAGAGCTGTCAGCCTGCCTAAGCAGAGGGAAATTGTACAGACAGAGCCATCCTGGTATTATGAAAAAGCTGCCTATGAACACCCACTGTGGGACCCTTTGATCCCAATATACTCCCTTTGATCCCAATAGCCCTCAATATCAGCACATGATTAACATGGCTTTAGTTACTTAAAGTATAGAAGACATTAGAAGACAATGGCAGAAACAGACTGGGTTTGCAGGCATGAATAATTCACAGTATTGGAGATAGCCCACCAGAAGTTTGTAAATAGAGATGCAGTAAGCTGCAGAGGGAACCTCAGAGAGAGTGAATGCCGAGCCTGGTGAAACGTTGACCTTCTAGCTGCGGCTATTAGAGGGGCCCCCCCAAAGTGGTGAGAGAAGGGGGGCCCTAGGAAAAATACCCAGTCTGGTCATCCATGCTTGCTGTGTAACCAGTGTCCTTGCTGTAAGGAAATAGGGCATTGGAAGGACAAGTGCCCCAGATTGAAAGGGAAATAAGGTGACTCTGAGCAGGAGTCCTCAGACAAAGATGAAGGGGACTTATTCAATCTAGCAGAAGTGTTATTGGACTGTGGGGGTCCGGGCTGATGTGCAGTAGTAACCATCCTGGTCGCCCTCTTTTCCACAAAGACTAGTAATATAATCAGATACACAGGGGTCCTGACAAAGTAAGCTTTCTGTTTGCCCTAGACCTGCACTTTAGGGGATGGGGGGGTCATTAAGTGATTCACCACTTCCTGTACATGCTTGACTGCCCCTTGCCTTTGGTAGGAAGGACTTACTTAGCAAGCTGAGAGCCACCATCTCTTTTACAAAACACAGCTCTTTACAGTTAAAGTTACTTGGAAGGAGAGTCATCATGGCCCTTATTGTTCCTAGCGAGAAGGAATGGAGATGCCTCTTAATTCAGTTAAGCTAAGATGTAAGACCAGCTCTGGCTAAGTGATGGCCAAAAGTGTGGGCAGAAAAGAACCCTCCAGGATTGGCAATTAACTAGGCCCTCTTACTCATAGGAGATAAGCCTATGGCCCAGCCAGCCAGGAAAAAACAGTCCCTAGTCCCCAGAGAAGCTCTTGAAGGTACCCAGGTCCATCTCAAGCACCTGAGGGCCCTTGGAATTATAGTCCCTTGTTAGTATCCATGGAACACTCCCTGCCTGTCTGTTCCAAAGCCAGGGATCAAGGACTACAGGCCAGTACTGGAGTTGTATTCAGTCATCCAAGCTACAGTGACTTTGCCCCAGTTGTACCTAACTCCTACAAATTGTTGGGGTTGCTGCCAGCTGAGGACAGCTGAAGGATGCCTTCATTAGCATCAGCCTAGCCCTTGAGAACCAGAAACTCTTTGCCTTTGAGTGGGAAGATGCGGGGCCAGGTGTCACCACTCAGTACACTTGGACCTTGCTTCCCCAAGGGTTCAATAACTCCCCCACTATCTTTGGGAAGGTACTGGCTCGGGACTTCCAGAAGTTTCCCACAGAGACCTAGACTGTTTTTTGCTCCAGTCTGTTGATGACCTCCTGCAGGGACACCCAACAGTAATCGGGTGCCCCAAGGGAATGGATACCCTGCTCTGGCACCTGGGGGACTGCGGGTATGAGGTGTCCAAAGAAAGCTCAGATCTGCTGACAGCATTTATGTTATCTGGGATTTACTATCCTACAATGGAGCACAGCCTAGGATCAGAAAGAAAGCAGGTCATTTGCAACCTACTGGAGACTAAAACCAGAAGGCAGATGAGAGAATTCTTAGGAGCTGTATTTTCAGTACTGTAGGAAGTCACAAAGGGAGGTAACAGAGAGAATTTTGAATGGGAGTCCCAACAGTAATGAGCTTTTCATGAATTAAAAGAGAAACTTACATCAGCCCCAGCTCTGGGGCTGCCTGACCTCACAAAGCCATTTACACTATATGTGTCAGAGAGAGAAAAATGGTAGCTGGAGTTTTTACCCACACAGTGTGCCCTGGCCAAGATTGGTAGCCTACTTCTCCAAACAGCTAGATGGAGTTTCTAAAGGTTGGCCCCCATGTTTGAAGGCCTTGGCAGCAACTGCCCTGCTAGCACAAGAAGTGGATAAACTAACTCTTGGGCAAAACCTGAACATAAAGTCTCCCCATGCTGTGGTGTTATTAATGAATACCAAAGGACATCATTGGCTAATGAATGCAAGGGTAAGTAGCTACCAAAGCTTGCTCTGTGAAAATCCCCACATAATCATTGAAGTCTGCAACACCTTGAACTCCACCACCTTACATACACCTTACTGGTGTCAGAGAGCCCAGGTGAACATAACTGTGTAGAGGTGTTGGACACAGTTTATTTTAGCAGACTCCCCATTGAGACCATTCTTGGGCATCAGTAGATTTGGAGCTGTACATGGATGGGAGTAGCTTGTCAATCTACAAGAAAAGCAGTCATACACTGCAGAGGAAACAAGCAAACTTCCACTCGATTGCCTTGGAGAACTCCCGAGCTGACTCAGAGTCTCGGAAAGCAGCATCCACCCACTATGGGGCATCAGTCACAATCCTGTTGCTCCATCAGGTACCTGACCTTGTACCTATTTATTCTAAAGAAAAGAAAGACTTTCTCCAAGCAGAGGGAGGGCATGTGATAGAAGAGGGAAAGATTCTGTTATTTGATGGAAGAATAGCCATGTCACAACTACTAGTAGCCACAGTGGTACTGGCTGTGCATGAGACCACCCACCTAGACCAAAACTCAGTGTGTCACCTTTCCACAGAAAAATGCTAGGCAAGGTCTAACCGTCTTGCCCAACATACAAGCTTATGGATTAGCCCGCTTTGAAAACATCCAAGTAGACTTCACCAAGATATCCAAATGTAGAGGTAACAAGTATTTGCTAGTTCTAGTGTGTACATACTCTGGGTGGGTGGTGGCCTATCCAACAAAAACTTAGAAAGCTCGTGAAGTACACTATGTGCTTCTCCAAGATGTCATCCCTAGGTTTAGACTGCCCTTATGAATGAGCTCAGACAACATGCCATCATTTGTTGCTGACTTGGTACAAAAGGCAGCAAAGGTATTGGAAATGACATGGAAACTACATACTGCTTATTGACCGTAGAGTTGCGGAAAGGTGAAGCAGATGAACTGGACTATCAAAAATAGTTTAGAAAAAGTGTGTCAAGAAAGAGGATTAAAGCCGGCACAAGCTCTCCCTAAGGTATTGTTTAAGATTAAATGTATTCCTTCTAAAAGAACAGGATATTCACCTTATGAAATATTATATCATAGGCCCCCTCCCATACTACGGGGACTCCTAGGCACTCATTGAGAGCTAGGTAAAATTGAGTTACAGCAACAATTACAGGCTCTAGGGAAAATTACAGAAACAATTTCAGCCAGGGTAAATGACTTTCTTCCCAGATGATCGGGTGTGGATCCCGGATCGGAAAGTAGCCCCCTTGTGGCCACAGGTGGAAAGGACACCAGGCCTTCGTCTTGACCACTCCCACAGCCACAAATGTAGAGAAAATTCTAGCGTGGATCCATCATAGCCACCTAAAACTGCAGCACCTGAGACCTGGGAGGAGAGACCAAGCCCAGATAACACCTCCAAGGTGACTTTGAAGAAGATGACAAGCCCTACTCCAGTCATACCCAGGAGCTGACTGGTCCACGCATGGCCAAAACATGAGGAAACTCATTGTAGGACTCACTTTTCTTAAATTTTGGATGTGTACAGTAAGGACTTCAACTGACCTTCCTCAGACTGAGGACTGTTCAAGTTACTGAGGTAGGGAAAAAAGTTAAAGCAGTCTTTTTGTTTTATAGTTATTATGAATGTATTGCAACTTTAAAAGGGATGACTTTGTATAACGCCACCCTGCACAAGGTATGCAGCCCAGGAAGTAACCAGCCTGATGTGGGAAAACCCATTATAACTACTTGATCCCTGTCGGAAAACAGGAGAGTATGTAATTCTAAGAATCAATGGAAATGGACTGGATCCCCAAGTAAATATTTTAGTCTAAGGGAAGGTCCACAGGCACTCTCCCAAGCCAGTGTTTACTCCCTGTATGGTACCTGTACTTTTACCACCTTAGTTCATCAAAAGACCACAGCACAAGTGCATTACATAAATCACTATCAATCTGTTTTGCAGAAAGACCTGGGTAATGAAGATGAGAAAGAGAACTCTCACTAGTGAGTGCAGCTCTCAAAGAGGGGGATGAGGAGGAAGGCTATTTCTCTTACTGTCCCCTGTTCTCTGAATAGAAGGAGGAAGTAAAAGCTGAAAAACATCAGGAATGAAATCATTGACAAGACCAGCTGGTGCCACTAATGAACAGGCCTGAGGTTAAAAGTTTAACCCACCACTCTAACCACACGTGCTATCTCTAGATCTCAATCTATTACAACCCTTTCACGTGTAACCCCTTAAAGTTGTAAGCACTTAAAAGGGACAGGAACTGTTTCTTCCAGGAGCTCAGTTCCTGAGACAGGAGTCTGCCAACACTCCCAGCTGAATAAAGCCACTTTCTTCTTTAATCCAGTGTCTGAGGGGTTTTGTTCATGGCTTGTCCTGCTACAAAGGAATGCAGCAATGGGGTTGACTGGTTCTGCAAGAAGCCCCCACCTGGGAGACAGCAACCCCAGGGAAAACAGCCTGGCTCTACCTAGAAATCACAGTGGGGTAAGTTTCAAAAAGGCTCACCCCTACAATGTCTAGGTTGAATGAGGAATCCTGAAGATCATTTTTTATTATTAGGGATTTCATGGTTTATTGCTGGAACTTTACTTGAGGTTTCTTCAGGCTGGCTCACATCTGCCCTCTCCTAGGATCATGGAACAATACCATGGATCCCACAGTGAAGACAGGTGAGAGTCCACCTTTGACACAACTCCACGGAGGTCTTCTTCTCCACCAAGCCACAGGAACTTGTTGCTAGGCAATGGTTACACTCATTGTGATGCTAGCCAGAGCTCACAATCAGGCCTGGTGCCCTGAGAGTAGTGCATGCCCATTCCTGTGGCAGCCTATGTTTCCTGTCTGTCAGAGCTGTCAGCCTGCTTAAGCAGAGTAAAATGGTACAGGCAGTGCAGCCTGGTAGCGAGAAAAAAGGCTGCCTGTGAAATCCCACTGTGGGACCATAAGTGGGGACCTCAGGGCCCCTTCATGGCATCTCCATGGCCATGTCATGCTGGAGAAGGAGGCGTTTCAAGAATGTGAGCTGATCGCTGGAAACTGCTCATCTGACTCCAGTCTCAAAAGAGGCTATGTGCAAGAATCGGGTATGATGGGGATGCAAATATAGTTTGCTGTGTTGTTGAGGGTTATTTGGATGATAGAATCATACCTGAGACCCCAGAAGCTGGGGTCAGTGAAAGATAGTTGGGCCCTTGACCTCACTTCCTCCCTTCATTTTGGGCCTCACAGGGGCTCTCTGGGAAAGTCTGGACCTAAGACAAAGGCAAGTCCAAGGTGGAGCACTGTTCTCACACCTTGGACTGACCACTCATGGGTGCAGATGAGGTTGAGACAGTGTGTCAAAGGCCATTTATGGCATGGCAAGGATAAAAAGTTGTGTCAGTACTGCTGTTTAGGGGTACTGTAGATTCCCCATGAAAGCAAAGAAAAATAAAACCTCATCTCTCTAGAATGAGCTGCCTTGTGCTGGAGTCCAAGCAATGTTCAATGATTCCTGTCAGAGGATCCAAATGCCTCCTGTAAAGTGGAAGGAACTTCAGCCCCCCAAATGAGACAATGACCCAGAACCTGGAGTGCAGCCAGCCTACCTGAAGTCCCTTTTCCTCTCTGAAATCCTGGTAACTAAATTATCTGTGTAGAGAGGCAGTCCTACTGAAAAACAGCTGAATGAAAGAGCCCCTCCACAATAAGGAAACCAGGCAGATGAAATGAAACAGAAGATAGACTACCAGACAAAAGCCAGACATGAATGCCTGCTTCTCACCCTGCAGAAGTCATGCAGCCCTTTGATAGGAGTGGGAGAGGAAGAGTTTGCTTTTTGGTGGCTGTAACAGGAATTTACTGTTTTAAAAGTATCAAAGCAGCTCAGTCATTAAAACGTGATGGTGTTTAGAAGGAAACACTCACACAGTGGATCACCGTGAGGGTTGTTCTTTGTGAACTGGGAAATGTTCTGTGTTGGAAGTCATTGAACCAGACCCAGGAAACTGTAGGCCAGTGAGGAACATGGAAGTCAGGAAAAGATGAGGCAAGTGTGGAGGCCACATTCCACCTAGCATGAATTTATTCCACTTCCATTTTGTTCCGGGTATGAAAGCCCTCAAATCGGAAGTTTGCCAGGATGGCCCCAGCTTGTACACTCACCTGAACACTGAGCCATGGTGTGGACTGCTTCTTCAACTAAGGGAATGTGGGGATGGTGTTGGAAGTACCTTCTGAGTCACCTGTCTTCAGGTGACAACCTTCACCTGATTGAATTCTCACCCCTATCCGATGTTATGGCTGCTTATACTCTGTGTCCCAAAATAAAATCCCAAAATGATGGAGGAGTGCCCCCTCAGGACGTGAAGCACTTGCTAAGCTGGGGACTGAATTTCAGGTAAATTGAAGGGGCCCTGAAAACAAGACTGCTACTGTCTCTGTCTGGGTTGGCCACATAACAATGAAACACTAAAGATATCTATGTTTTTGTGTGGTGTGCTCCTCTTGTTTCTAGAAGAATGGCTTTGTGCTTTGTAGGGGGAGATTATTTGGACATGGGTGGGTTATGGCCTGCCTCTCAATTCACTGAGACTTATGATGTGGCTCAAGCAGAGCCAAAAGGGTTGGAGACTCAAAAAACTAGCCCTGAATTGTGTTAGCCACATTCATTTAAGCACTCTCCACTTACAGACACACACACACAAACACACACACACACAAAATGCCACACACATGCAGGCCTCCAACACTCACAACACTCCAACAGAAACACACAGGCTGGCAGCTCCTGAGGCTTCGTGGTTGTGCAAGAAACTTACCCTGGCAGAGAGCAACCCCAGGGCATACTGGCAGGCTTTACCTGGGAAGCACGGTGGGGCAAGTTTCAGAAAGACTAACCAATACAGCATCTAGCCAGTCCTAAAAAATCCTGCAGTTCCTTTTGGATCCTTAGCAATTTTGTGGTTTATTCCTGGGGCTATGCCTGATGTTTCTTTAGGCTGGTTCATGTCTGCCCTCTCCTAGGATCGTGGGACTATCCCGAGGCTTCCACAGGGAATAAAAGTGAGAGTCCACTGCTGATGCACCTCCACAAAGGTATCCTCCTCAGCCAAGTCACAGGGACTTGTCGCTGGGCAAATGTGACATTCATTGTGACTCTAACCAGAGCTCAGATCTAAGCCCTAGTGTCCTGAGACTAGCATTAAAATTCTCTACCTTAGAACCCCTTTGGGATGTCTGCATCTTTGGGTACCACTGGAGGAGGACGCGTTTCAAGACTGTGAGGTGGTTGCTTAGGAGAGCTCTTCTGACTCCATTCCTGAAAGAGCCTTTGTGCAAGAATCAGGACCCATCTAAATTGGAATATAGTCTGGTGAGTTGTTAAAGGATTTTTGTGTAATGGAATTATACCTGAGACACCAAAAATGAGTGTCAGTAAAATATAGCCAGTCCCTTGATCTCATTGCTTCCCTTCATCATGGTCCTCACAGGGGCTCTCTGCAAAAGGCAGGAAACATGAAAAAGGTAGGTCCAATATCAAGAAGTTCTTACACCGAACTGGAGTGTCATGGGTGCAGTTGATACTGTGAAATTGTCTCAGAGGCCGTTTTTGGCAATTGCAAGCCTGAAAATGGTGGCCAGTATTTCTGCTGAGGGGCAATGTGGGCCCAGCATGAAAGCAAAGAAAAATCAAGGCTCACCTGTGAGAATGAGTGGACTTGTCCTGGATTTCCAGAAATGTTCAAAGATTTCTGCCAGAGGAACCAAAAGCCTCCCACAAAGTGCAAACAACCTCAGATTTTACAACAAGCCCATGACACAAAACCTGGAACACCACCAGCCGACCAAAGTCTTTTTGCTCCCTGAAATTCTGCTTGCCAAAAGAACCATTGTGAGTGGCAGTCCCATACAGCAAAAGCTCAATGAAAGAGTCTGTTTACAATGAGAAAGGAAGTGCAGATGAAGTGAAACACAGCCTTGGTTACTAGGTGAATCCAAACACGGCTCCCTGCTTCTCATCCTACGGGAGTCAAGCAGCCTTCCAATAAAAGTGGGAGAACGAAAGTTTCCTTGTTGGCAGCTGTAATGGGAATTGATGCTTTAAAAATAAATACAGCTGCCCATTCATTAAAATGTGACAGTGATTAGAAGGAAACACTCATGCAATGGATTCCAATTAGTTCGACCTCCATGAAGTGGGAAAGGTTTAGTGTTGAAGATTTTGAGCCACATGCAGCATGCCATAGGCCATAGAGGAACATGGAAGACATGAAAAAAACAGGCAAGTGTGGAGGCCATATTTCACCCAGAACTAGTCCATCCCACTCCCATTTGGCTTTGCCTATGAAAGCGCTCAAATCTGGAGTTTGCCAGGATGTCCCCAGTTTGCACTCCAAATGTTCTCTGCATGTTGGAGTACTCCCACCTCAACAATGGGCCATGGTGTGGACTACTTGTGCAAATAGTGGAATGTAGGGATTCAGTTGGAAGCATCTTCTGTGTCATTTGTCTTCACCTTATTTGCAGGTGAAGTTGTGAGACCCCATCCACCCCTCACAAGATTGTATCCCCACCCTGTCTGACCTTACTGCTGCTCAAACTATCTGTCCAAGGATGAAAACCCAGGACAAAGGAGGAGTAACCCTCATGATGTGAAGCACGTGTTCACCTGTGAATATAACCTGAGGTAAATTCAAGGGTTGTTGTAGACAGGATTGCTATTGTCTCTCCCTGGGTTGGCCACATGACAATGAAAACCTGGGAGATGTCTGCTCTTGGGTGTGGTTTGACTCTCTTCTACCTAGAAGAGTTGCTTTTTTTGCAGGGCATGGTGACTTGGACAGCAGCATGTCTCGGCCAGCCTCCCAACTCACTGCAGATTCATGATTCACAAAAAAATAAAGAACATGGAGTTCTATGTCCCAAACAGAGGCGTACAGGAAGACAACAAAAGGTTGGAGACTCAACAAAATGAAGTGCTGCAGTGTGTTAGCCACATTCCTTTAAGCAGACTCCATTTACAGGCACACACACACACACACACACAAATGTACAAAGTCAAACACACAGGCAGACATCCAACACTTGCAGCACTCCCACAGAAACACACAGCCTATCAGCTCCTGAGGCAGTTTGGTTCTGCAGGAAGCCACACCTAGGAGGGAGCAACACCAAGGAACACAGGAGGGCTGTACCTATACATCACAGTGGGGCAAGTGTCAAAAGCACTCACCCCTCACTCACTCACAGGGGTGAGGATACAGTGCCTAGGCAGGCCTGAAGCATCTTGCAGACCCTTTTGGATCCTTCTGGAATTCATGGTTTATTCCTGGTGCTCTTATTGACATTATTTCAGGCTGGCTCATATTTGCCCTCTCCTAAAATCAGGAGACTATACAGTAATTCCCACAGAGAAAACAGGTGAGAGTCCACCACCGACAGCACCTGTAAAAAGGTCTTCTTCTCCGCCAACCTGCAGGAACTTGTCTCTAGGAAATGGTGGCATTCACTGTGACGCTAATCAAAACTCACAGCTCAGTCTTTGTGCCTTGAGACCAGTGCCTTCGCATTCAAGAGGCATGTTCTGGGGCCTGGCTGTCAGAGCTGTTAGCCTGACCAAAAAGAGGAACAAAGAAAAGGCACTGTGATAAACCACTGCTGGACCCAAAAAGTCTAGGCCATAGGGCCCTTTTGGGCAGTCTCTGAGGTCGAGTTCCACTGAAGGAGAACTCATTTTGAGACTGTGAAGTGGTCGCTGCAATCAGATACTCTGCCTCCATTCTGGAAAGAGGCTGTGTGCAAGAGGCAGTTCCTATGGGGATTGTAATACAGTCTGGTGAGTTACCGGGCCTCACAGGGGCTCTCGGGAAAAGGTAAGAACCACGACAAAAGAAAGTCCAAGATAAAGCATTGTTCTCACACCTTAAACTGGCTGTTCTCACACCTTAAAATGGGTGCAGGTGAGGTGGAAACAGTTTCTCAGTGGCTGTCTGTGGTGAAAGCAAGCCAGAAAAGGGTGTCCAGTAGTGCTGATGAGGGGCAATGTGGAACCCTCATGAAAGCAAAGAAAAATGAAGGCTCATCTGAGCAAATAAGCTGACTTGTGCAGGAGTCCAAATAATGTTCAAAGATTTTTGTCAGAGGACCCAAAAGCCTCCTACAAAGAGCAAACAACATCAGCCTCCACAAGGAGAAAAAGACCCAAAATCTGGAGTATAGCCAGCATACGCAAAGTCCTATAGGCTTCCTGAAGTTCCTGGCAGCCAAAAGATCTGTAGGGAGGAGGCAGTCCCATCCAGCAAAAGCCAATGAAATATCCACTCCACAGAGAGAAAGGACTTGCAGATGAAGTGAAACAGAGCTAAGATTACCAGGCAAATGCAGACATGGCTGCCTGCTTCTCATCCTAAAGGAATCATGCAGTCTTCCAATAAAAGTGGGAAAACAAGAGTTTCTATGTTGGTGGATGTAATGGGAATTTATGCTTTTAAAAGTATCACAGCTGCCCAGTCATTAAAATGTGGCAGAGTTTAGAAAGAATCCCTCATGTAATGAATTCCCAAGAGAGTCATCCTCTGTGAACTGGGAAACTTTTAGTGTGGAATACGTGTAGCCATACCCAGGAAAACTTAGGCCAAAGAAGATCATGAAAGTCAGGAAAAGAAGAGGCAAGTGTGGCAGCCACATTCCATCCAGCATCAATCCATCACCCTCTCCTTTGCCTTTGGGTATGAAAGCCCTCACATTGGGAGTTTGCCAGGATGGCCCCAGTGTGTACTCAAAATTTTCCCCATACATTGGAGTACTTCCACCTGAACACCAGGCTGTTTAGCTGGAAACAATCTCTGTGTCGTCTGTCATCCTTTTTCTTTTTTTTTTTTTTTTACAGGTGCAGTTGGGGTATCCCATGCACCTCCCCAGATTTCATCTTTACTCCTATCTGACATCATTGCTGTTGACACTCTATGCACCAGGATGAAATCCAAAGATGATATTTGAGAGCCCCCCGACCTAAGACATGAATTATTGGCTTGGCTGGGAATCGAATTCAAGGTGAATTCAATGTGCCCTGTGCACAGGACTGCTAGCATCTCTCCCTGGGTTGGCTGCAAGACAATGAAACACTGAGATGTCTCATTTTTGGTGTGGTGTGCTCCTTTTCTTTCTAGAAGAGTGGCTTTTCTCACACACACAATGCCACACACACACTCAGACATCCAACATTCACAACACTCCCACAGAAACATACAAACCAGTTACTACTCAGACTGTGCTGTTGTGCAGGTAGCACCAACTGGGTCTGCAGGTAGCCCAAGCAGACCCACACAGAAAAGCCACCAAAAGGTTGGGAGATGTACATACAGCAAACACTGAAGTGCATTAGCAATATTCCTTAGGCAGACTGCACTTACAGTCTCTCACACACACACACATACAAACACACAATGCCACCCACATGCATGTAGACATCCAACACTCACAGCACTCCACCAGAAAGGTTGGCAGACTAAAGAAGAAGTGCTGAAGTGTGTTAGGCACATTATTTTAAGCACACTCCACTTACAGACACATAAACACGCACATACACAAACACACAATGCTACACACACACACACAGCCATCCATCACATGCAAGACTCTCATAGAAAAGCAAAGACTGGCAGCCCCTGAGGCAGTGTTGTTCGGAAGGAATCCCAACCTGGGAGACAGCAACCCCAAGAAACACAAGGGAACTGTACCTAGAAATCACGGTGGTG
This sequence comes from Homo sapiens, assembly GCF_000001405.40. Taxonomy (NCBI): domain Eukaryota; kingdom Metazoa; phylum Chordata; class Mammalia; order Primates; family Hominidae; genus Homo; species Homo sapiens. Next base: position 6,397,330 of record NC_000024.10, read on the forward strand.
CAAGTTTGAAAGAGACTCAACCCTACAAACTTCTGGGTAGTCCTGAGAAATCCTGTATATCCTTTTGCATCCTAAGGGATTCTGCAGTTTATTCCTGGAGGTGTACTTGACTTTTCTTCAGGCTGGCTCATGCCTGCCCTTTTCTAGGATCATGGGACAATCCCATGAACACCACAGAGAAGTCAGGTGAGAGTCCACGGCCGATGCATCTCCAAGGAGGTCTCCTCTGCCAAGCCACAGGGCATTGTCACAAGGCAGCAGTGACATTCATTGTGATGCTAGCCAGCACTCACACTCAGGCCTGGTGCTCTGAGACTAGCACATGTGCATTTCTGAGGCAGGCTCAGGCACTCATCAGAGCTGTCAGCCTGCCTAAGCAGAGGAAAATGGTACAGGCAGAGCCTGCCTGGTATAGGGAAAAATGCTGCCTGCAATAACCCACCACTGGACATAAAAATATAGATGACAGGGCCCTTTCAGGCAGTCTCCAAGGTTGGGTTCTGCAGAAGGAGAAGTCACTTTGAGACTGTGAAAGGGTCGCTGCAATCTGCACCTCTGCCTCCATTCCCAAAAGAAGATGTGTGCAAGAGTTAATTCCCATGGGGATTGAAATACCATCTGGTGAGTTTTTGAGGCATCTCTGGGTGATGGAATCATCATTGAGACCCAAGAGGTGGGTGTCAGTGAAAGATGGTTAGGCCCTTGACCTCACTGCCTCCCTTCATCCTGGGCCTCACAGGAGCTCTCTGGGAAATACAGGAACCACAACAAAAGCAAGTCCCAGATAAAGCATTGTTCTCATATCTCAAACTGGCCTTTCACAGATGCAGATGTGGTTGACAGAGTATGTCTGAGGTGGTCCATGGCAATTGCAAGACAGAAAATGGTGTCCAGTACTGCTAATGAGGGGCAATGTGGACTCCCCTTGAAAGCAAAGAAAAATGAAGGCTTATCTGAGCAAACAAGCTGACTTGTGTGGGAGTACAAGCAAAGTTCAAAGATTCCCATCAGAGGACCCAAAAGCCTCCTGCAAAGCGCAAACAACATCAGCCCCCACAAGGACACCATGATCCACATCCTGGCATGTAGCCACCATATGCAAAGTCCTTTTGGCTTCCTGAAATTCCTGGCAGTGAAAAGATCTATAGCAAGAGGCAGTCCCATCCAGCAAGAGCCAATGAAAGATCCACTCCACAGCAGGGAATGACATGCAGATGAAGTGAAACAGAGCCAAGATTAGCAGGAAAATGCAGAACACAGCTGCCTGCTTCTCCTCCTACAGGAATCATGCAGCTCTTTGATAAAAGGAGAATAAAAATTTCTGTATTGGCAGTTGTAACGGGAATTTATGCTTTTAAAAGTCTCATATTGCCCAGTCATCAAAATGTGACAGAGTCTAGGAAGAAACACTGATGCAATGGATTCACATGAGAGTGGTCCTCTGTGAACTGGGAAACTTCTAGTGTAGAAGATGTGGAACCAGACCCAGAAAACCCTAGGCCAAAAAGGAACATGAAGACACAAGTGTGGTGGCCACATCCCACCCAGCATCAATCCATCACACTTTCATGTGGCTCTGGGTATGAAAGCCCTCACATTGAGAGTTTGCCAGGATGGCCCCAATTTGTTCTCAAAATGTTCTCTGCATGTCCACCTGAACACCAGGCTATTTACTTGGAAGCAGCTTCTGTGTCATCCATCTTTATTTTATTTTTTTCAGGTGATATTGCAAAACCTTATACACCCTTCACCAGATTTTGTCCTTACTGCTATTTGACTTTATTCCTGCTCATACTGTATGTTCCAGGATGAAATCAAAAGATGATGGAGAAGTGCCCCCCGCCACAAGATGTGAATCACTTGCTCAGCTGGGAACTGAATTCAAGATTAATTCAAAGTGCCCAGTGGACAGGACTGCCAGTGTCTATGCCTGGGTTGGCCTCATGACAATGACACACTAGGAGATACCTCTTTTTGGCATGGTGTGCTCCTCTTCTTTTTAGAAGAGTGGCTTTTTTTGAACACACAATGCCACACACACGCTCAGACATCCTACACTCAAAATACTCCCACAGAAATACACAGCCCAGCAGCTACTGAGGCTGCATTGTTGTGCAGGAAGCACTACCTGGAGAAAGTCCCACATCCCAAGCAGAGAAACACAGGCCACCAAAATGTTGGAAGACTCAAAAACAGAAAGCACTGAAGTGCATAAGTAATATTCCTTTAAGCAGACTCCATTTATAGTCACACACACACACACAATGCCACACAAAGATGCAGACATCCAACACTCGAAATCCTCCACCAGAAAGGTTGGGAGACTAAAAAAAAAAAAAAAAAAAGAGAAAGACAAAGGGCTGAAGTGGGTTAGCCACATAATTTCAAGCACACTCCACTGACAGGTGCACACACACACCCAATGCCACACACAGATGCAGACATCCAACACTCGCAACACTCCCACAGGAAAACACAGCTCAGCAGCTCCAGAGGCTATGTGATTCTGCAGGAATCCCAACCTGGGAGAGAGCAAGCACAAGAAACCCTGGTTGGCTACACCTAGAAATCACAGTTAGGCAAGTTTCAAAAGACTCATGCTTACAACATCTAGGGTGGCCTGAAAAATCCTGCAGAGGTTTTTGCCTGTGTGTAAGCAAGGTGGCATCCTAAGCAGAGAAAAATGGTACAGGCAGAGTAGGCCTGTTTTTAATAAAAAGGCAGTGTGTGAAAACCCACTGTGGGACCCTAAATGTCTCGACCTGAAGGCCCCTTTGGGCTGTCTCCATGGTCAGGTCCCACTGCCGGAGGAAATATTTTGAGATAGTAACCTGTTCGCTGGAAACTGCCCTTCTGACTCCATTTTTGAAACAGGCTGTGAGCCATAATCTGGTCCCATAAGAATTGGAATATAATCTGTTGTGTTGTTGAGGGTTGTTTGGGTGACAGAATCATACCTGAGAACTTAGAGGTGGGTGTCAGTGAAAGAAGGTTGGGCTCTTGACCTCACTGCATCCCTTCATCCTGGGTCTCTCAGAAGCTCTCTGGGGAAGGTAGAAACCACAACAGTGGCAAATCCAATGTAGAGGAGTGTTCTCATACCTTGGACTGGTCTTTCACTGTGCAGTTGAGGTTATTCTTACACCTCAGACTGGCCTTGGACTGTGCAGATAAGGTTGAGACAGTGAAACACTGCGAGATGTCTGTTTCTGGTGTGGTGTGCTCCTCTTCTTTCTAGAAGAGTGGCTTTTTTTGTGGGGGGAGTTGATTTGGACAATTGTGTGTCTTGGCCCACCTCCCAATGCAATGCAGATTCATGATCCACAGAAAAATAAAGAACATGGAGCCCCAAAGCACAAGCAGAGCAACAGGCAGGCCAACAAAGATTGAAACATACAAAAAAAAAAAAAAAAGCAGCAGCACTGAAGTGCGTTAGCCATATTATTTAAGCAGACTCCACTTACAGCCACAAACACATTCTCAAACACGCAATGACACACACACACACATATCCAACAGTTGCAACACTCCCACAGAAGAACATAGCCCAGCAGCACCCGAGGCTGCATAGCTCTGCAGGAATTCCCACCTGGGAGAGAGCAATCCCAGGGAACATAGACAGGCTGTACCTAGAAACCACAGTGGGGCAAGTTTCAAAAAGACTCACCCCTACAATATCTAGGCAGGCCTACAAAATCTTGCAGATCTTTTTGGATGTTTAAGGATTTTGCGGTTTATTTCTGTAGCTAAGCTTGATGTTCCTTCACGCTGGCTAACGTCTGCCCTCTCCTAGGATCATGAGACTATCTGTGGATTTCACAGAGAAGACAGACGAGAAGACACCGCTGACACTTCTCCACGGAGGTCTCCTTTTCCACCAAGATGCAGATGCTTCTTGCAAGGCAATGGTGACATTTATTGTGATGCTAGACAGAGCTCACAATCAGACCAGGTGCGCTGAGACTAGCGCAAGTGCATTTGTGAGGCAGACTCAAGTCAGGTTGTCAGAGCTGTCAGCCTGCCTCTGCAGTGGATAATGGTACAGGCAGAGCTGGCTTGGTATTGGGAAAAAGGCTGACTATAAAAACCCGCTGCAGGACCCTGAAAGTCTTGACCTCAGGGACCCTGCTAGCCATTTCCTTGTTCAGGTCGCGCTGGAGGAAGAGGTGTTTCGCGACTGTGAGGTGGTCGCTGGAAACTGCTCTTCTAACTCCATTAGCGAAAGAGGGTGTGTGCAATAATTGGGTCCCAAGGGGATTGGAATATAATCTGGTGTGTCGTTGAGTGTTCTTTGGGTGACAGAAACATACCTGAGACACCAGAAGTGGATGTCAGCAAAAGATGATTGGGCTTTTGAACTCAATGGCTCCCTTCATTCTGAGCCTTGCAGGGGCTATCTATGAAAGGCAAGAACCATGACAAAGGCAAGTCTAATGTGGAGCAGTGTTCTCACATCTTGGAATGGCCTCTCACTTGTGCAGATGTAGTTGAGACAGTGTCTCAGAGGCCATCTGTGGTGATGGCAAGCTTGAAAATGGTGTGCAGTGCTGCTGTTGGGGGGCACTATGGATTCCCCAAGAAAACAAAGAAAAACCAAGGTTCACCTAAGAATGAGCTGCCTTTGCTGGAGTCCAGGCAATGTTCAAGATTCCTGTCAGAAACCAAAAGCCTCCTGCAAAGTGCAAACAACTGCAGCCTCTACGATGAGACAATGATCCACAATATGGAGTGCAGCCAGTTTATCAAAGTCCCTTTTACTCTCTGAAATCCCTGGCAGCAAAATAATCTGTGGCAAGTGGCAGTCCTAGCCAGCAATAGCCCAGTGAAAGGGCCCCTCCACAATGAGAAGTCCATGCAGATGAGATGAAACAGGGGCTAGATTATCAGGCTAAAGCCAGACGTGGCTGCCTCCTTCTCATCCTAGAGTAAACATGCAACCCTGTGATAGAAGTGGGAAAAAAAACAGATTCCTTGTTGGTGGGTGTAACAAGAATTTACCGTTTTAAAACTATCAAAGCTTCCCAGTCTTTAAAAGGTGACAATGTTTAGAAGGAAACACTCATGCAATGGATTCCCAGGAGGGTTGTTCTCTATGAATTGGGAAACATTTAGTGTGGAAGTCATTGAGCCAGAAAGAGGAAACCCTAGGTTGATGAAAAACATAGAAGTCAGGGGGAAAAAGGCAAGTACGGAGGCCACATCCAACCCAGCATCAATCAATACTCCTCCCATTTGGCTCATGTATGAAGGCTCTTAAATTGGGAGTTTGCAAAAATGGCCCCAATTTGCCCTCCAAATATTCCTTGCAGATTAAAGTACTCCCACCAGAACACCGAGCCATGGTGTGGACTGCTTGTGCAATTAAGGGGATGCAGAGATGAAGTTGGAAGCACTTTCTGTGTTATCTGTCTTTATGTTTTGCTGGTGAAGTTGGGAGACCACTTTCACCCCTCACCAGATTGTATCCTCACCCCATCTGACCTTATTTCTGCTCACAATCTATGTCCCCGAATGAAATCCAAGATGATGGACAAGATCTTCCTCATGACATGAAGCATCTGCTCAGCTGGAGACTGAATTTGATGTAAATTCAAGGGGCCATGCACACAGGTCTGTGAGTGTCACTTTCTGGTTTGGACTCAGGTCAATAAAACACTGGGAGATCTCTTTTTTTTGGTGTGGTATGCTCATCTTCTTTCTAGAAGAGTGGCTTTTGTTGCAGGGGAGGTGATTTGGATGCTTGTGTGTCTCGGCCCACCTCCCAATTCACTGCAGATTCATGATCCACAGACAAATAAAGAACATGAATCCCGGCAACCCAAGCCGAGCCACACAGACAGGCCACTATAAGGATAAGAGACTCAAAAATAAAAGAAATGCTGCAGTGCATTAGCCACATTCCTTTAAGCAGACTCCACTTACAGGCACGCAAACACACACACAAATACACAATGCCACACCTACCCACAAAGACAACCAACACTTGCAACATTCCCACGGAAACTCACTGCCTGGCAGCTACTGAGGCTGTGTGGCTCATCAGAAATCCCCACCTGGGAGAGAGCAACCCCGGGTAACACATGCATGTTGTACCTAGAAATCACATTGGGACAGGTTTCTAAAAGACTCACCCCTACAACCTCTAGGCAGGCCTGAGGAATCCTTCCAAATCCTTTTGGATCCCTAGGCAGTTTGCCATTTATTCCTGGGGCTCTTCTTGACCTTTCCTCAGTCTGGCTCTCATCTGCCCTTTTCTAGGACTATCCTGTGAATCCCACAGAGAAGACAGGTGTGGTTCCAATGCCGGTGCACCTCCAGGGAATTCTCCTTTTCTACCAAGCTCCAGGCCTTCTGCCATGATCATGAGACTATTTGTGGATTTCACAGAGAAGATAGGTGAGAGTGTACCACTGACACACCTCCACAGAGGTCTCCGTCTCCAGCAAGAGGCAGGGACTTGTCACTAGGCAATGGTGACCTTTTTTGTAACTTTTGCCGAAGCTCACAATCAGCCCTGATACCTTGAGACTAGCACATGTGCATTCATGAGGGTGGCTCAGGCGCCTGACTGTTGGAGCTGTCAGCTTGCCTAAGCAGAGGAAAATAGTACAAGCAGAGATGGCCTGGTATCAGGACAAAGTCTGCCTGCGAAAACCAACGGCTGGACTGTAAAATTTGCAAAGTCAGGGCCCCTTCAGTTCATCTCCATGATTGGTTCCCGCTGGAGAAGAAGGCATTTCAAGATGGTGACATGGTCTCTGGAAACTGCTCTTCAGACTCCATTTCTGAAAAAGTCTATGTGCAAGTATCGGGTTTCATGGGGATTGGAGTATAGTCTGGTGAGTTGTTGAGGATTCTTTGGGTGATACAATCATACCTGAGACCCCAAAGGTGGGTGTCAGAGAAAGATGGCCGGTCTCTTGGCCTCACTGCCTCCCTTTATTTTGGACCTCGCAGGAGCTCTCTGGGAAAGGCAGCAACCTCAAAAAGGCAAGTCCAAGAAGGAGCAGTGTTCTCACATCGTGGACTGTCTTCTCACAGGTGCAGATGAGGTTGAGACAGTGTCTCCAAGGCTGTCTGTGGCCATGGCAAACCTGAAAAGTGTCAAGTACTGCTGTTGATGGGCACTATGCATACCTTATGAAAGCAAAGAAAAATCAATGCTCACCTGAAAGAACAATCTGCCTTGTGCTGCAGTCCAAGCAATGTTCAAAGATTCCTGTCAGAGGACCGAAAAGCCTCCTGTAAAGTGCAAACAACCTCAGCCCCCACGTTGACACCATGGCTCACAACCTGGATTTTGGTGAGCCTACCCAAAGTGTCTTTTGCTCCCTGAAATCCCTGGCAGCCAAAAGATCTGTGATGAGAGGTAGTACCATCCAGCAACAGTCCAGTGAAAGATCCCTTCCACAATGAGAAACGACATGCAGATGAAATGGAACAGTGCCTAGAATGTCAGCCAAAAGTGAGATATGACTGCCTGCTTCTCACCCCAGAGATCTTGCAGCCCCTGATAGAAGTGGTAGAACAAGAGTTTCCTTAATGGCAGCTGTAACAGGAAATCATGGTTTTAAAAGTATCACAGCTGCCAAGTAATTAAAATGTGACATTGTTAATATGAAATACGCACACAATGGATTCTCATAAGGGTCATAATCACTGTATGGGGAAATGTTTAGTGTCGAAGACGTTGAGCCAGACCCAGGAAACCCTAGGCTGATGAGGAGCATGGAAGTCAGGAAAAAAAGAGGCAAGTGTAGACGCCACATCCCAGCCAGGATAAATTCATGGTACTCCCATTTGGCTTTAGTATGAAAGCCCTTAAATTGGCAGTTTGCAGGATGGCTTCAGTTTGCACTCCAAATGTTCCCTGCACCTTGTAGTACTCCCACCTGAACACCGGGCCATGGTGTGGACTACTGTGTCATTAAGGGAATGCAGGGATGCAGTGTGAAGCACTTTCTGTCTTCTGTCTTCACCTTTTTTGCATGTTAAGGTGCAGGTCCTCATCCACCCCTCACCACATTGTATCTTCATCTCTCTGTGACCTTATTGCTACTGATATTCTCTGTTCCAGAATGAAATTCCAAGATGATGGAGGGGTTCTCCTTCACGATGTGAAGCACCAGCTTGGCTGGGAACTAAATTCGAGGTACATTTAAAAAGCCCTGCAGACAGGACTGCTGCTGTCTCTCCCTGGGTTGGCTGAAGGACAATAAAACACTGGGAGATGTCTGTTCTTGAGGGTGGTATGGCCTTCTTCTTTCTAGGAAAGTGGTTTTTTTTGGGAGAAGGAGGTGTTTTGTTACCTGGCGGGTCTCATCCTGCCTTAGACTTCATTGCAGATTCATAATCCATAGAAAAAGAAAGAATACAAAGCCCCGCAGCCTGAGACAATCCACTAAAAAGTTGGAAGACTTAAAAAAAAGGGGGCTGCAGTGCTTTAGCAACATTACTTTAAGCAGACTCCCCTTACAGACACCACACACACACACACACACACACATAGACACAGCCATACATACACGCAAACATCCAACACTCACAACACTCTCACAGAAACACAAAGTCTGGCAGCTTCTCAGGCTTTGTGGTCCTGCAGGAAGCCCCACCTGGGAGACAGCCACCCCAGGAACACAGGTGGGCTTTACCTAGAAATCACAGTGGGGCAAGTTTCACAATGACTCACCCCTGCAACATCTAGGCAGGCATTAGAAATTCTACACATATTTTAAATCATTAGGAATGCTTCAGTTTATTCCTGAGGCTGCCCTTGAGGTTTCTTGAGGCTGGCTTCTGTCTGCCCTCTCCTAGCATCATGGGACTGTCCCATGCATTTTACTTAGAAGACAGGTGAGAGTCCACTACCAATGCCCCTACATGGAGGTTTCCTCCCTCAATCCACAGGGACTTGTCACTAGGCAATGGCGGCATTTATTGTGACACTAGTCAGAACTCCCAAACAGGCCTTTTGCACTGAGAGTAGAGCATGCACATTTGCCAGGTAGATTCGGGCCCCTGGCTGTCAGAGTTGTCAGCCTGCCTAAGCAGAGGAAAATGATATAGACAGAGATGGCATGCTATCATGAAAAAGTCTGTCTGTGATAACCAAGTGCAGTACCGTAAAATTATTGACCATGGAGCCCCTTCACGATGACTCCATGGCTGGGAACCACTGAAGGAGGAGGCTTTTCCAAACTGAGGTGGTCTCTGAAGACTGCTCTTCTGACTCCATTCCTGAAAGAGGCTGTGTGCAAGAATCAGGTTCCATGGAGATTGGAATATAGTCTGGTGAGTTGTTGAGGGGATTTTATGTGATGGAATTATACCCGAGACCCCAGAGTCAGCTTTCAATGAATGGGGCTCGGCCCTTGACTTCATTGCCTCCTATCATCCTGGGCCTGGCAGGGGATCTATGAGAAAGGCAGGAACCACGACAAAGGCAGGTCCAAAGTCAAGCAGTATTCTTACATGTCGAACGGGTCTCTCACTCATGTAGATGATGTTGAAAAATGTTCACAGAAGGTGTCTGCGGAAATTGCAAGTCTGACAATCATGTCCACTAATGCTGTTGAGGGGCAATGTGGACCCAGCCTGAAAGGAAAGAAAAATCAAGGCTTGCTTGAGAGAAGGAGCTGGCTTGAGCTGGAGTATAAGAAACTTTCAAAGGTTCCTGTCAGAGGAACCAAAAGCCTCCTGAGAACTGCAAACAACCTCAGCTCTCACAATGAGACCACGAACCACAAGCTGGAAGGCAGCCAGCCTATGCAAAGTCATTTTTGCTTTCTGAAATCAGTGGCAGCAAAATCTGTATTTAGAGACATTCCCATCTAGCAACATTCAATGCTATATGCCCTCCACAATGAGACAAGACTTGCAGATGAAATAAAACAGAACATAGATTACCAGAAAAAAAGCTAGATACGTCTGTCTGCTTCTCATCCTACTGGAATTATGCAGCCTTTTGATAGAAATGGGAGAAGAACTGTTTCCCAAGGGCCAGACATGGTGGCTCATGCCTGTAATCCTAGAACTTTAGGAGGCTGAGGTGGGAGGATCATGAGGTCAGGAGATTGAGACCATCCTGGCTAAAATGGTGAAACCCCATCTCTACTAAAAATATAAAAAATTAGCCAGGAATGGTGGAAGGCTCCTGTAGTCCCAGATACTCGGGAGGCTGAGGCAGGAGAATGGTGTGAACCCAGAAGGCAGAGCTTGCAGTGACTGGAGATCATGCCACTGCACTGCAGCCTGGGCAACAGAATGAGACTCTGTCTAAGGAAAAAAAGAAAAAGAATTTATTTGTTGGTGGCTGTAATGGGAATTTATGGTTTTAAAAGTATCACAACAGCTCTGCCATTAAAATGTGACAGTGTTTAGAAGGAAGCACTGATGAAATACATTCCCATGAGGGTCATCCTCTGTGAACCAGGAAACGTTTATTGTGAAAGACATTTAGCCAGACCCAGGAAATTCTGGGCCAATGAAGAACACGAAAGTGAGGAAAAGAAGAGGCAAGTGTGGAGACCATATCCCACACAGCATCATTCCATCCCACTCCCCCTTGGCTCCCTGTACAAAAGCCCTCCAATAGGGAATGTGCCAGCATTGCCAAAGTTTGCACTAACATTGTTTCCTGCCACTTGGAGTAGTCACACCAGAACACAGGGCCATGGTGTGGAATCCTTTTGCAATTAAGGGAATGCTTAAATGCAGTTGGAAGCACCTTCTGTGTCATCTGTTTTTACCATTTCTGCAGGTGAAGGTGTGGGACCCCATCCACCCTTCACCAGATTGCATCCTCACCCGCATCTTACCTTATTGCTGCTCAAACTCTGTGTCCCAGAATGAAATCCCAGGATGATGGAGGATTGCCCCCTCACAACGTGAAGCAGCTGCTCAGCTGGAAACTGAATTCAAGGTTAATTCAAGGAGCTCTGCAACATGACTGGTAGTGTTGATTTTTGGGTTGACTTCAGGACAATAAAACATTCTCCAGGAATCATGCAGCTTTTCTATAGAAGTGAGAGAACAAGAGTTTCCTTGTTTGTGGCTGTTGCATGAATTTACAGTTTTAAAAGTATCACAGCTGCCCAGTCATTAAAACATGGCAGTGTTTAGGGGGAAATACTCACACAATAGAATCCCATGAGGATCATTTTCCATGAACTGGGGAATGTTGAGTTTAGAAGACGTTGAGCCAGACCAAGGAAACTACGCCAATGACGAACAAAGAAGTCAGGAAAAGATGAGGCAATTGTGGAAGCTGCATCCCACCCAGTATCAATCCATCCCACTCACATTTGGCTCTGCGTTTGAAAGCCCTCAAATTGAGAGTTTGCCAGGATGGCCCCAGTTTGCACTCCAAATGTTCCCTGTGTGTTAGAGTACTCCCACATGAAAATGGGGCCATAGTGTGGACAGCTTGTGATATTAAGGGAATACAAGGACAAGGATATAGTTGGAAATAACTTCTTTGTCATTTGTCTTCACCTTTTTTCAGGTGAAGGTGTAGGACCCCATCCACCCCTCACCAGATTGTATCCTCACCCCTATCTGACCTCACTGCTGCTCACACTCTCTGACCCAAAGTGAAACCCCAAGACAATGGATTAGTGCCTCCGTACAAGGTGAAGCACCTACTCAGGTGGGAATCAAATTTGAGGTAAATTCAAGGGGCCCTGTGAACAGTGCTACTGTCTATCACTGGGTTGGCTGCAGGATTAAAACACACTGGAAGATGTCTGTTCTTGAATGTGGTGTGCTCCTCTTCTTTGTAGAAGAGAGACTGTTTTTACAGGGAAAGGTGATTTGGACCTCTGCCAGCATCCCAATTCACAATAGATTCATTATCTACAGAAAAATAGAGAACATTGAGCCCTGCAGCCAAAACAGTGACACCAACAGGCCACCAAAATGTTAGGAGACTTGAAAAATGAAGTGCCACAGTGCGTTAGCCAGATTTTTTTTAAGCAGACTCCATGTACAGGCACACACACACAAACAAAAAAACACCGAAAGCCACACACACACAAGCAGACATCCAGCACTCCCAATGCTCCCATAGCAACACTCAGCCCTGCAGCTTCTGGGTTGTGTGGTTCTGCAGGAAGCTCCACCTGGGAGAGGGCAGCCATGGGGAAAACAGGCTCTACATAGAAATCAGAGTAGGGCAAGTTTCCAAAAGACTCACCCCTACAACGTCTAGGCAGGCCTAAGGCATTCTGCAGATATTTTTGGATCCTTAGGGATTTCAGGGCTTATTCCTGGCTCTGATTGATGTTTTTTTTTCAGTTTGGTTCACCTCTGCCCTCTCCTGGGATCATGGGACTATACTGTGAATCCCACAGAGATGGCAGGCGAAATTCCAACACCAATACCCACCCCCCGCCCCCACGAAATTCTCCTTTTCCGCCAAGCCATAGGGACTTGTCAGTAGTCAATGGTGGCATTGACTGTGACGCTAGCCATAGTGCACATCTCATGCCTGGTGCCCTGATACTAGCACATATCCCTTCATGAGGCAGGTTGTTGTGCCTGGCTCTAGGAGATGTCAGCCTGCCTAAACAGAGGAAAATGGTACAGACAGAGCTGATCTGGTGTCAGAAATAATGCTGCCTGTGATAATTCACTGTGGGACTCTAAACTTTTGAGCTTAGGGCATCTTTGGGCCATCTCTGGGTCGTTCCCTCTGGAGGAGGAGACATTTTGATACTGTGAGGTAGTCGCTGGAAAGTGCCCTTCTGACTCCATTCTTAAAAAAGGCTGTGTGCAGGAATCGTGTCCCATGGGTATTGAAATATAGTCTGGGGAATTGTTGAGAGGTCTTTGCATGATGGAATCATACCTGAGACCCCAGAGGCAGATGTCAGTGACAGACTACCAGGGCCTTGGCCTCACTGCCTCCCTTCATTTTGGGCCTCACAAGGTCTCTCTGGGAAAGGTAGGAACCACGACAAAGACAAATCCAGTGTGGAGCAGTGTTCTCACACATCGCACTGGCCTTTCATAGGTGCAGATGATGTTGGGACAGTGTCTCAAAGGTTGTCTGTGGTGATTGTAAGCCTGTAAAGAATGTCTATTAGCACTGTTGAGGAGAACTGTGGACCCCCCATGAAATGAAAGAAAAATCAAGACTCCCCTGATTGAATGAGGTTACTTGCCCTGGCATCCAGGCAATGTTCAAATATTCCTGTCAGAGAACCCAAAGCCTTCTACAAAGTGAAAACCACCTGAGCCTCCACAATGAGAAAACAACCCACAACCTGGAGTGTAGCCAGCCTACCTGAAGTTTCTATTTTTCCCTGTAATCCCTGGCAACCAATAGATATTTGGCAAGAGGCACTCCCACCCAGCTATAGCACAGTGAAAGAAACCCTCCACAATGAGAAAGGATGGGCAGATCTAATAAAACAGATCCTAGATTACCAGAAAAAGCCACACAGGGCTGCCTCCTTCTCATCCTACAGGAATCATGCAGCTCTCCGATAGAAGTGGGAGAAACAGAGTTTCCTTCTTGGCCACTGGAATGTGAATTTATTGTTTTAAAATTATCACAGCTGCCCAGACATTAAACTGAGACAGTGCTTAGAAAGAAATAATCACACAATGGATCCCCATGAGATCATCCTTGTGAAGTGGAAATGCTTGTTATGGAAAACTTAGATCCAGACCCAGGAAACCTTAGGTCGATGAGGAACATGGAAGTCAGAATGCAAAGATGAAAGTGTGGAGGCCACATGCCACCAGCATCAATCCCTCCCAGTCCCATTTGGTTCTGGGTATGAAAGCCCTCAAATATGGAGTTAGCCAACTTGGCCCCAGTTTGTACTCCAAATGTCCCCTGCACGTTGGAGTACTCCCGCGTGAACACAGGGCCATGGTATGTGCGGCTTGTGCAACTAAGAGAATGCTGGGATGCAGTTGGAAGCAACTTCTGTGTTATCTGTCTTCTTTTTTTTTTTTCTTTTTTTGCAGGTGAAGGTACAGCATGGCATCCACCCCTCACCAGAGGGGTATCCCCACCCCTATCTGACCTTATTACCTTATTGCTGTTCAAAGTCTCTATCCCAGACTGAAATCCCAAGACAATGGAGAAGTTCCCCCTGATGATGTGAAGCACCAACTCCTCTGGGAATCAAATTCGAGGTAAATTTAATAGGCCCGGTAGAGATGAATGATAGTGTCTCTCCTTGGATTGGCTGAAAGACAATTAAACACTGGTATATTTCTGTTCTTGGTTGTGGTGTTCTTCTGTTCTTTCTAGAAGAGTGGCTTTTTTGGCAAAGGAAGGTGATTTGGACAGTGGTGTTTCTCAGCCAGCTTGCCAATTCACTGCAGATTCATGATCCTCAGAAAAATAAAGAATATGGATCCCAGCAGCCCAAGTAGACCCACACATACAGGCCACTACAATGTTTGGAGACTCAAAAAAAAAAAAAGAAAAAAGAATCACTGCAGTGCATTAGCCACATTCCTTTAAGCAGACTCCACTTAACAGGCACACACACACTCAATCACACATACACACTACCACATACATGCAGATTTCCAACATTTGCAACACTCTCACAAAAACACACAGCCCAGCAGCTTCTTAGGCTTCTTGGTTCTGCAGGAAGCCCTGCCTTTGAAAGAGCAACCCCAGGGAACACAGGCAGCCTGTGCCTAGAAATTACAGTATGGTAAGTTTTAAAAAGACTCATCCCGACAAAGTCTGGGAGGCTTGAGGCATCCTGCAGATTCTTTTGGATCTGTACGGATTTTGTGGCTTATTCCTGGGGCTGTGCTTGACTTTTCTTCAGGCTGACTCACCTGCTCCCTCTCCTTAGGCCCATGGGACTATCGTGGGAATCCCACAGGGAAGATAGGCGAGAGTCCACCGCTGACTCACCTCCACGGAGTTCTTATCCACAAAGTCACAGGGACTTATCCCTAGGCAATGGTGGCCTTCATTGTGATGCTAGCTGGAGCCCATAGCTCAGTCCTTGTGTCTAAGAGTATGCAGGCTTTCGTGATGGGCTGTCAGACCTGTCAGCCAGCCTAAAAAAAAAAGAAAAAAAAAGATACAGGAAGAGCCGGCACGGTATTGAAAAAAATGCTGCCTACAATAACTCAATGAGGGACCATAAATGTCTCAACTGTAGTGCCTCTACAAGTCATTCCTGTGGCCAGGTCCCACTGGAGAAGGAGGTGATTCGAGACTACGAGGTGGTCTTTGGAAAGTGTTACTCTGATTCCATTCCTGAAAGGCTGTGTGCAAGAGTCTGGACAGATGGAGGTTAGAATATATTCTGGTGAGTTGTTGAGGGCTCTTTGGGTGGTGGAATCATACCTGAGAGACCAGAGGTGGGTGTCATCAAAAGATGGCTGGGCTCTTGACCTCACTGCCTCCCTTCATGCTGGGCCTTGCAGAGGCCCTCTGGGAAAGGAAGGAACCACGAAAAAAGCAAGTCCAAGGCAGAGCAGTGTTCTCTGACCTCGAGCTGACCCCTAACGGATTCAGATGAGGTTGAGACAGTGTCTCAGAGCCCGTCTGTGATGAATGCAAGCCTAAAAAGGGTTTCCAGTAATGCTGTTGAGGGGCACTGTGGACCCAAGATGAAAGCAAAGAAAATTCAAGGCCTGCCTGAGAGAACCACCTGACTTGTGCTGGAGTCCAAGTAA
This sequence comes from Homo sapiens, assembly GCF_000001405.40. Taxonomy (NCBI): domain Eukaryota; kingdom Metazoa; phylum Chordata; class Mammalia; order Primates; family Hominidae; genus Homo; species Homo sapiens. The sequence goes on from NC_000024.10 coordinate 6,412,996, forward strand.
CATTCAAAGATTTCTGTCACAGGACCCTAAATCCTCCTGCAAATTGCAAACAGCCTCAGCTGCAACAATGAGACCATGACCCACAAGCTGGAGCTCAGCCAGCCTGCCTAAATTCCCTTTTGCTTTCAGAAATCCCTGGCAGCCAAAAGATTTGTGGTGAGTGGCACCCCCATCCAGAAACAGCCCAATGAAAGATCCCCTCCACAATAAGAAAGGACATATAGATGAAATGAAATAGAGTCTAGATTTCCAGGCAAAAGACAGAAATGCCTGCCTGTTTCTCATCCTAGAGAAACTGTGTAGCCCTCTGATAGAAGTGGGAGAACAAGAGTTTCCTTGTTGGTGGCTGCAACGGGAATTTACAGTTCTAAAAGTATCACAACTCTCCAGTCATTAAAACGTGACAGTGTTTAGAAGGAAACATTCACTCAATGAATTCCCATGAGGGTCGTCCTCCATGAACTGGGAACATTTAGTTTGGAAGAAATTGAGCCAGACCAAGGAAACCCTATGCTGAAAAGGAACACGGAAGTCAAGAAAACAAGAGGCAAGTGTGGAGGCCACATGCCACCCAGTATCTATCGATTGCCCTCCCATTATGCTTCAGATATAAAAGCCCTCAAATTGGGAGATTGTGAGGATGGCCCCAGTTTGCACTCCAAATATTCCCTGAACGTTGGAGTACTCCCACCTGAACAATGGGGATTGTGTGGACTGCTTTTGCAACTAAAGGAATTTGGCAATGCAGTTGGAAACACCTTCTGTGTCATCTGTTTTAAACTTTTTTGCAAGCTAAGGTGTGGGACCCCATACACCCCTCAGCAGATTGTATCCTCACCCCTAACTGTTCTTTTTGCTGCTCACACTCTCTGTTCCAGAAAAAAAATCCCAAAACGATGGAGGAGTTGCCCCTCATGACATGTAGAACCTGCTCTCCTGGGAACCAAATTCTAGGTAAATTCAAAGGGTCTTGTGAACAACACTGCTATTGTCTCTCCCTGGGATGGCCACAGAACAATGAAAAACATTGTGATGTCTATTCTTAGGTGTGGTTTTCTCCTGTTCTTTCCTGAAGAGTGACACTTTTGCAGGTGGAGGGGACTTGGACCCTAGCAGGTCATAGCCAGCCTCTCAATTAACTGCATTCATGATCCACAGAAAAATAAAGAACACACATACCAAGTAAAACAGCAGAGACAAGTCACCAAAATTTTTGGAGACTCAAAAAAAATGCTATAGTGCAATAGCTACATTCCTTTAAGCAGACTCCACTTACAGACACACACATGCACACACACACAAACACACAATGCCACAAACACACATGCAGATTTTGAACATTTGCAACACTCCCACAGAAACATACAGCCTGGTCTCGCCTGAAGCTGTGTGGTTCTGCAGGAAACCCCACATGGCATAGAGCAACAATGCACAACACAAGGGGGGCTGTAACTAGAAATCACAGTGGGGCAAGTTTCAAAAACACACCCCTACAATGTCTAGGCAGGCCTGAGGAATCCACTTCTGCCCTCTCCTAGGATTGTGGGACTATGCCATGGATTTCACAGAGAATAAAAGCAGAGTCCACTGCAGATGCACCCCCATGAAGGTCTCCTTTTTCCACCAAGCCTCAGGGCCTTGTTGCTAGGCAATGATAACATTCATTGTGATGCTCAAAAGAGCTCACAATCAGGTCTGGTGCCCCAAGACTAGTGCAAACACATTCATGAGTTAGGTTCACTTACCTGGCTGTCAGAGCTGTTAGCCTGCCTAACCAAGGAAAATGGTACAGCAGAACCTGCCTGGTATCAGAAAAAAAGCAGCCTGTGAAAACCCATTGCTGGACCCAAAAAAGTCTCCATCTCTGGGCCCCTTCGTCCGTCTCTGTGATCGGGTCCCATTGGAGGAGAAGGCATTTTGAGATTGTGAGGTGGTCTCTGGAAACTGCTGTTCTGACTCCATTCCCAAAAGAGAATGTGTGTCAGAATCAGGTCCCATGGAAATTGGTTTATAGTCTGGCGTGCTGTTGAGGGGTTTTTGGGTGATAGAATCAGACTTTGTTGAGGGTTTTTTGGGTAAAAGAATCATACTTGAAACCCCAGAGGCGGCACTTGACCTGTTCTTACACCTCAGACTGGCCTCTCAAGGGCACAGATGACATTGAAACAGTGTCTCAGATGTCATCTGTGGTGATGGCAAGGGTGAACAGTATGTGCAGTAGTGCAGTTGGGGGACACTGTGGATCCCCCATGAAAGCAAAGAAAAATCTAGGCTCGCATGAGAGAACAAGCTGCCTTGTGCTGGAGTACAGGCAATGTTCAACGATTCCTGTCTGAGGACGCAAAAGCCTCCCACAAAGTGCAAAGAACCTCAGCCCCCAGAACGAGACAACAATCACAACATGGAGCCCATCCAGCATACACAAAGTCCCTTTTGCTGTCTAAAATTCCTGGCAGTTAATTAAACTGTAGAGAGAGGGAGTCCCATCCAGGAACAGCCCAAAGAAACAGCCCTCCCACAATGAGAAGGCCGTGAAGATGAAATAAAATAGAGACTAGATTACCAGGCAAAAGCTAGACATGTTTGCCTGCTTCTTATCCTTCAGAAATCGTGCAGCTTTCTGATGCAAGTGGGAGAACAAGGGTTTCTTTGTTGGTGACTGTAATACAAATTTACAGTTTTAAAAATATTAAAGCTGTGCAGTCATTAAAATGTGACAATGCTTAGAAACCAACACTCACACAATGGATTCCAGTGAGGGTCATTCTTCATGAACTGGGAAATGTTTAGTGTGGAAGTTGTTGAGCCAGACCCAGGAAACCCTAGGCCAATGAGGCGCATGGAAGAAAGGAAAAGAAGAGGCAAGTGTGAAGGCCACATGCCACCCAGCATCAATACATTGCACTCCCATTTGCCTCCGTGTATGAAAGACCTCAAATCCAGAGTTTGCCAGGATGGTCCCAACTGGCACTTCCAATATTCCTTGCACATTGCAGAACTCCCACCTGAACATTGGGGCCATGGTGTGGACTGTTTGTGCAATTAATTAAATGTGAGTACAGACGTAGAATCACCTCCTGCATCAATTGTCTTCATTTTTATTGCATGGGAAGTTGTGGGACCCCTTCCACCCCTCATCTAATTGTATCCTCACTCCAGTCTCACCTTATTCCTTCTCACACTCAATGTCCCAGAATGAAAACCTAAGACAATGGAGAAGGGACCCTTCATGATTTGAAGCACCTGCATGGCTGGAAACTGAATTTGTGGTAAATTCAAGGGCACCTGCAGACAGGACTTTAATTGCCTCTCCCTGGGTTGGAAGCAGGGCAATGAAATGTGGCAGATGTCAATTTTTCCACTTTTTGTGGTGTGGTGTGTCCTTCTTCTTTCTAGAAAAGTGGACTTTTTTTTCAGGAGGAGGTGATTTGGATGCCAGTGGATCCTTGCCCGCCTCCCAATTCACTGCGGATTCACGATACACAGAAAATTTAAAAACATGGAGCCCCGCAAGCCAAGCAGAGCCACACATAAAGGCCAAACAGAAGGTTTGGAGACACAGAAAAAGAAGCAGTGAAGTGTGATAGCCACATTTCTTTAAGCAGACTGCACATACAAGCACAAACACAGAGACACACAATCACACAATGCCACACACATACACAGACTTTCAACACTCACAACACTCCCACAGAAACACACAGTCTGGCAGCCTCTGAGGTTGTGTGGTTCTGCAGGAAGCCACACCTGGCATAGAGCAACCCTGGGGAACACAGGCGAGCTGTAACTAGAAATCACATGGGGGCAAGTTTCAAAAAAACTCACACCTACATCTAGGCAGGCCTGAGGTAAACAGCAGATCCTTTTGGATTCCTAAAGATTTTGCAGTTTATTCCTGGGACTATGCTTTCATTTCCTCACACTGTCTCTCATCTGAAATCTCCTAGGATCATGGGACTATCCCGCGGATTCTGCAGAGAAGACAGGTGACAGTTCACCATGGACAAACCTCTACGGAGGTCTCCTTCTCTGACAGGAGGCAGGGACTTGTGGCTAGGCAGTGGTGATATTTTTGGGATGCTAGCCAGAGCTCACAGTCTGACCTGGAGAATAGTGCATGTGCATTCATGAAGCAGGCTCGGGCACCCAGCTCTTACAGCTGTCAGTCTGACTAGCAGAGAAAAATGGTAGAGGCAGAGCTGGCATACTATCAGAAAAAATGCTGCCTGTGAAAACCCACTGTGGGTCCCCAAAAGTCTCAACCTCAGGGCCCCTTCAGGCAGCCTCTGTGGTCGGGTCCCACTGGAGGAGGATGCATTTCAAGACTGTGAGGTTGTCACTGGAATCCACTCTTCCAGCTTCATTCCCATAGGAGGCTGTGTGCCAGAATCGAATACGATGGGGTGTCAGTGAAAGATGGCCAGGCTTTTGACCTCACTGTCTCCCTTCATCCTGGGCCTTGCAGGGATTCTTTGAGAAAGGAAGGAACCATGAAAAAGCCAAGTCCAATGTGAAACAGTACTTTGGACTGGCCTCTCATGGGTGCAGATAAAATTGAGACCATGTCTCAGAGGTTGTCTGTGGCAATGGCAAGCCTGAGAAGAGTGTCCAGTGGTGCTATTGAGGGGCACTGTGGATTCAACATGAAAACAAAGAAAAATCAATGCTCACCAGAGAGAATGGGCTGCCTTGTGATGGAGCCCAGAAATTTTCAATATTTCCTGTCAGAGGACCCAAAACCCTGCTGCAAAGTGCTAACAACCTCAGTCACCACAATGAGAAAATGACCCAAAACCTATAGTGCAGCCAGCCTACCCAAAGACCTTTTTGCTTTATGAAATCCCTGGCAGCTAAATAATTTGTGGTGAAAAGCAGTCCAATCCAGCAGCAGCCCAATAAAAAATCACTTCCACAATCAGAAGGTGGTGCAGATGAGATGAAACAAATGCTGGATTACTGGGCAAAAGCCAGACATGGCTGCCTGATTTTCATTCTTCAGGAATCATGCAGCCCTCCAATAGAAGAGGGAGAACAGGAGTTTTCTTGCTGGCAGCTGTAATGGGAATTTATTGTTTTAAAAGTATCTAAGATGCCCAGTCATTAAAACATGACTGTTTAGAAGGAAACACTCATGCAATGGATTCCCATGAGGGTGATTCTCTGTGAACTGGGAAATGTTTAGTGTGGAAGTCATCGAGCCAGTCACAGTAAACCCTCAGCCAATGATGGACATGGAAGTCAGGAAAAGAAGAGGCAAGTTTAGGGGTCACATTGCACACAGCATTAATGCATTCCACCCCCATTTGGCTGAGATATGAAAGCTCTCATGTGAGAAGTTTGCCAGAATGGCCCCAATTTGTATACCAAGTGTCCCTTGAAGGTTGAAGTAATTCCACCTGAAACCAGGACATGGTGTGGACAATTCCTTTGCAGGTGAAATTGTGGGACTCTATCCACCCCTCAGTAGATTATATACTCACCTCTATCTGACCTTATTGCTGCTCACATTCTATTTCACAGGATGAAATCCCAAGACAATAGAAGTGTGTCCCTTCATGATGTGAAGCATCTGATTGAATTCGAGGTAAATTCAAGGGGCCTTGAAGACAGGATGACTAGTGTCTCTCCCTGATTTGGCCACAGGATGAGAAAACACTGGGATATGTTTGTTTGTGTGTGTGTGTGGTGTGCTCCTCTTCTTTCTAGAGAGGGCCTTTTTTTATTTCAAGGGGAGGTAATTTGGATGCCGGGGGGTCTCAGGCCACCTCCCAGTTCACCATGGATTCATGATCAACAGAAAAATAGAGAACATGGAGCCCTGCAGCTCCAGCAGAGCCACACAAGCCAACAAAAGATAGGAGTCTCAAAAAAAAAAGAAATGCTGGAGTGTGTTAGCCCCATTCCTTTAAGCTGACTCCACTTACAGGCACACACACACAAACACACACAGACACAAACACACATGCAGACATCCAACACTTGCAACACTCCTACAGAAACACACAGCCCAGCAGCTCTAGAGGCTGTGTGGTTCTTCATGAAACCCCACCTGGGAGACATCAATCCTGGGGAACAACTGGGGGCTGTATCTAGAAATCACAGTGGGGCAGTTTCTGGAAGACTAATTTCTACAATATCTTGGTGGAACTGAGAAATCCTGCAAATACTTTTGGATCTTTGGGGATTTCACAGTTTATTCCTTGGGCTATGCTTGAATTTTTTCAGGCTGGCTCATGCCTGCCCTCTCCTAGGATCATGTGTCTATCCCATGGATCCCACAGAGAAAACAAGCAAGAGTACAACACCACTGCACCTTCACAGAGGCCTGTTTCTCAGCTAAGTAGCAGGGACTTGTCACTAGGCCACGGTGACATTTAATGTGATGCTAGCCAAAGCTCACAATCAGGCCTGGTGCCCTGAGACAAGCATGTGCATATTCGTGATGTCAGCGTAGGAACTTGTCTGTCAGAGCTGTCAGCCTGCCTTAGCAGAAAAAAATGGTACAGGCAGAGCCAGGTTGGTATCATGAAAAAGGCTGCTGGCAAAAATCCACTGTGGGATATTAAGAGTCTCAACCTCAGGAATGCTTTGGGCCATCTCCGTTGTCAGGTTTCTCTGGAGAAGGAGGTGTTTCATGACTGTGAGTGAGTCTCTGGAAACTGCCCTTCTGACTCCATTCTGAAAAGAGGCTGTGTAAGAATCAGGTCGCTTGGGGATTGGAATATAGTCTGGTATGTTGTTGAGGGTTATTTTGGTGATAGGAACTTACCTGAGAACCCAGAAGTGGGTGTCAGTGAAAGATGGCTGGGCTCTTGACCTCACTGTCTCCCTTCATCCTGGTCCTTGCAGGGCCTCTCTGCAAAAGGCAGGAACCACGACAAAGGATAGTCCACAGTAAAGCAGTGTGCTGACACCTGGGGCTCACAACTCACAGGTGCAGATGAGGTTGAGACAGTGTCTAAGAGGCTGTTTGTGGTGATGGTAAGCCTGAAAATGGTGTCCAGTACTACTGTTGAGGGGCAATGTGGATTCCCCATGAAAGCAAAGAAAAATCAATGCTCACCTGAAAGAATGAGCTACCTTGTGATGGAGTCCAAGCAATGTTCAATGACTCATATCAGAGGGCTCAAAAGCCTCTGACAAAGTGCAAACAATCTCAGTCCCCACAACAGGACAATGACACACAACCTGGACTCAGCCAGCCTACCTGAGGTCACTTTGGTTCTCAGAAATCTTTGGCAACCAAATAATCTGTGGCAAGAGGCCGTTCCATCCAGCAACAGCCCAATGAAAGAGCCCCTCCGCAATGAGACTGCAGTGCAGAAGAAATAAAACAGAGGCTAGATTACCAGACAAAAGCCAGAAATGGCTGCCTGCTTCTCATCCTACAGGAATCCTGTAACCCTCTGGTAGAAGTGGGAGAAACAAGAGTTTCCTTATTGGTGGCAGTAATGGGAATTTATGGTTTTAAAAGTATCAAAGCTCCCCAGTCATTACAACCTGATAGTGTTTAGAAGGAAACATTCATGCAATGAATTCTCATGGGGGTTGTTCTTCATGAACTGGGAAATGTTTAGTGTGGAAGTCGTTGAGCCAGACCCAGGAAACCATATGCTCATGAGAAACATGAAAGTCAGGAAAAGAAGAGGCAAGTCTGGAGGCCACATCCCACCCAGCATCAATCCATTCCACCTCCATTTGACTCCAGGTAAGAAAGCCCTCAAATCTGGAGTTTGCCAGGACGGCCTCAATTTGCACTCCAAATGGTCTTTTACTGTGGAGTACTCCCAACTGAACAGTGGGCCATGGTGTGGAATGCTGGTGCTTAAAGTAATGTGGAAATGGAGTTGAAAGCTCCTTGTTTGTCATCAGTATTCATATTTTTTTACAGGTGGGGTTGCAGAACCCCATCCAACCCTTACTAGATTGTATCCACACCCCTATCTGACTTTATTTCTGCTTACACTCTATTTCTCAGGATGAAATCCCAAGATGATGGAGGCTTTCCCCCTTATGACATGAAGCACCTGCTTGGCTGACAACTGAATTCGAGGTTAATTCAAGGGGCCCTGTGGACAGGACTGACAGTGTCTCTCCTTGGGTTTGCCTCAAGATAATGAAAAACTAGGAGTTGTCTGTTTTTGGTGTGGTTTGCTCCTCTTCTTTCTAGAAGAGTGGCTTTTTTCACAGGGGTGGTGATTTGGATGCCGGGGTATCTCAGCTGCCATTGAATTCACTGTGGATTCATGATCCACAGGAAAATGAAGAACATGGAGCCCCAAACCCCAAGCAGAGCCACATAGACTGGCCACAAAAAGGTTGGAAAACTAAAAAAAAAGAAGCACTGATGTGTGTTAGCCATATTCCTTTAAGCAGACTGCACTTAAAAGCACACACACACAGACACACACCAACAAGCACACAATGCCACACACACATGCAGACATCCAACACTTGCAACAGTCCCACAGAAACACACAGCCTGGCAGCTCCTGATGCTCAGTGGTTCTGTAGGAAGCCCCACCTTGGAGTGAGCAACCTCGGAGAACAGAAGAAGGATGTACCTAAAAATCACCTAGGGGCACTTTTCAAAAATTCTCACCCCTACAGCATTTAGGCAGGCCTAATGAATCCTGCATATCATTTTGGATTATTAGGGATTTTGCAGTTTATTTCTGGGGCTCTGCTTGAGGTTTCTTCAGGCTGAATCATGTCTGCCCTTTCCTACATTCATGGGACTATTACATGTTGCTGGCAATGGTGACGTTCATTATGGTGCTAGCCAAAGCTCACTTTCAGGCCTGGTGCTCTGAGAGTGGTGCTTGCTTGTTCATGAGACAGGTTGGGCACCAGGCTGTCAGAGCTGTCAGCCTGCCTAAGCAGAGGAAAAGGTTACAGGCAGAGATGGCCTATTGTCAGGAAAAAGGCTGCATATGAAAACCCTCTGCAGGACTGTTAATGTCTTGACCCCAGGGCCTCTTCCAGCTGTATCAGTGGTTTGGTCCTGCTGGAGGAGGAGGCAATTTGAGATTGTGATGGGGTCTTTGGAAACTGCTCTCTGACTCAATTTTCAAAAGAGGCTGTGTGGAAGAATCAGATAGCTATGGGGACTGGAAGATAGTCTGCAGATGAAGGGAAACAGAGCCTAGATTACAAGGCAAAAGCCAGACATGGCTGCCTGGTTCTCCTCCTTCACGAACCCTGCAGCCCTCTGATAACGGTGGGAGAACAAAAGTTTCCCTGTTGCTGGTTGTAATAGTAGTTTATGATTTTAAAAGTATCACAGAAACTCAGTCATTAAATCGTGACAGTGTTTACAAGTAAATACTCACACAATGCATTTTTATGATGGTCTTCTGTGAACAGGGAAGAGTTTAGTGTGGAAGATGTTGAGCCAGATCCAGGAAGCCCTACACCAATGAGGACAATGGAAGTCAGTAAAAGAGGACACAAATGTGGAGGCCACAACCCACCCAGCATCAATCTATTCCACTTCCATTTGACTACAGGTATTAAAACCCTCAAACCAGGAGTTTTCCAGATTGGCCACAATTTGCACTCCAAATTTTTCCTGCAGGTTGGAGTACTCCCACCTAAACACCAGGCCATGTTGTTGACTGATTTTGCAATTATGGGAATGTGGGGATGGAGTTGGAAGCACATTCTGTGTCATCTATTTTCACCCTTTTTGCTGGTGAAGGTACGGGACCCCATCCACCCTTCACCAGGTTGTATACTCACCCCTATCTGACCTTATTGCTGTCACACTCTCTGTACCAGCATGAAATCTCAAGATGATGGAGGATTGCACCCTCAGGACATGAAGCACCTACTTGGCTGGGAACTGAATTCTAGGTAAATTAAAGGGGCTATGCAGACCAGAGTGCTAGTGTCTGTGGGTTGGCTGCTTTATAATGCAACACTGGGAGATGTCTGTTCTTGGGTGTGGTGCTCTCCTCTTCTTTGTAGAAGAGTACCTGTTTTTTTGGCAGGGGCAGACGATGGGGAACCCGGCTGGTCACAGACAGCTTAACTAGTCATTGCTGATTCCTGATCCACAGAATTCATTTACATACACACACACAGACACATACACAAACACACAAAGCCACACACACATGCTGACATCCAACACTCGCAACACTCCCACAGTAACACACAGCCCAGTAGCTTCTGAGGCTGTGTCATTCTGCAGAAAGCCCCACCTGGGAGAGAGAAACTGCTGGGAACACAGGAAGGCTGAAGTTGGAAATTACAGTGGGACACATTTCAATAAGACTAACCCCTACAATGTCTAGGCAGGCCTGACAAATTCTGCAGATCCTTTTGGATCTGTAGTGATTTTGTGCTTCATTCCTGGGGCTCTGCTTGACATTTCTTCAGGCTGGCTCACATCTACCCTCTCCTAGGATCATGGAACTGTCCCATGGATCCCACAGAGAAGACAGGTGACAGTGCACCACCATTGTACCTCCACAGAGGTCTCCTTCTCTACCAAGCCAAAGGGAATTGTTACTAGCAAAGCTGGCATTCATTGTGACACTAGCTACAGCTCACAGCTCAGGTCCATTGCCCTAAGACTAGCACATCCACATATAGTGACTCAAACTGGAGCACCAGGGTGTCAGGGCTGTCAGCCTGCCTAAGCAGAGGAAAATGGTACAGGCAGAGCTGGCTTGGTATCAGGATAAAGGCTGCCTGTGATAACGCATTGCAGTACCCTAAAAGTCTCAAACTTAGGGCCCTTATATGCCATCTCCATGGTCAGATCACATGGGAGGCAGAGCCGTTTCAAGACTGTGAGGTTGTCTCTGGAAACTACTCTTCTGACTCCATTCCTGAAAGGGGTTTTGTGAAAGAATCATGCCCCATGAGGATTGAAATATATTCTGGTGAGATGTTGAGCAGTCTTTGGATGATGGACTTATACCTGAAATACCAGAAAAGGGTGTCAGCAAAAGATGGCCTGGCACTTGACCTCTCTGCACTCATTCATCCTGGGTTGGGTAGGTGCTATCTGGGAAAAGCAGGAACCAAGACAAAGGCAAGTCCAAATTGAAACAGTGTTCTCATACCTCAAACTGGCCTCTCACAGGTGCAGATGTGGTTCAAACAGTGTCTCAGAGGCCATCTGTGGTGATGGCAAGCCTGAAAAGTGTATCCAGTAGTGTGGTTGAGTGGCAATGTGAATCCCCCATGAAAGCCAAGAAACATCAAGCATCATCTGAAAGAACGAGCTGACTTGTGCTAGAGTCCAAGCAATGTACCAATATTCCTGTCACAGAAATAAAAAGCCTCTTTCAAAATGCAAACAACCTCAGACCCCACAACAAGACAATGACCTAAAACCCGATGTGCAGCCAGTCTACTCTATAACCATTTTGCTTCCTGAAATCCCTGGCAGCCAAAATATCTGTGGCAAGAGGCATACCCATCCATTAACAGCCCAATGAAAGAACCCATTCACAATGAGAAGGAGGAGCAGATGAAATGAAGCAGAGGCTAGATTACCAGGCAAAATCTAGACACAGCTACATGCTTCTCATAATACAAGAATCATGCAGCCCTCTGAGAGCAGAGGGAAAAGAAGAGTTTCATTGTTGGTGGCTGTAATGGGAATTTAGTTTTAAAAGCATCAAAGCTGCCCAGTTATTAAAACGTGACAGTGTTTAGAAGAAAACACTCACTCAGTGGATTCCCATGAGGGATGTTCTCCATGAACTCAGAAATGTTTAGTGTAACAGTTGTTCAGCCAAACCCAGGAAACCCCAGGCCAATGAGGAACATGCAAGTGAGGAAAAGAAGAGGCAAGTTTGGAGGCCACATCCCACCCAACATCAATTCATTCCACTCCCATTTGGCTCCGGGTTTGAAAGCCTTCAAATCAGAAGTTTGACAGGATGGGCCGGATTTGCACTCCAAATGTTCCTTTCACATTGCAGTGCTCCAACTTGAACCCACATTATGGTGTGGACTACTTGTGTAATTAAGGGAATGTGGGGGTTGAGTTGGAAGCACCTTCTGTGTCATCTGTCTTCATGTTTTTTTTGCAGGTGAAGTTGTGGGGCTTCATCCAACCTTCACCAGATTGTATCCTCACTCCTACCTGACCCTATTCCTGCTCACCCTGTATGTCCCAGGATAAATGCCCAGACGATGGAGGAGTGCCGTCTCATGACCAGAAGAACCTGCTTGGCAGTGAACTGAATTCTTGGTAAATTCAAGGGGCCATGAGGACAGGACTGACAGTGTCTCTTTCTTGGTTGGCCACAGGACAATGAAACACTGGCAGATGCCTGTTTTTTTTTTTCTTTTTTTTTTTTTTTGTTTTGTTTTGTTTTGGTGTGGTGTGCTCCTCTTCATTCTAGAAGAGTGGCTTTTTTTGCTGTGGTAGGTGACTTGGATGCTGGTAGGTCTCAGCCCGGCCCCCAATTCACTGTGGATTCATGAGCCACAGGAAAATAAAGAACATGGAGCCCTGCGGCCCAAGCAGAGCCACACAGACAGGCCACCAAATTTGTGAGACTCAATTAAAAAAAGAAGCACCAAAGTGTGGTAGCCACATTCCTTAAGCAGACTCCACTTACAGGCACACACAAACACACACACAAAAAAAACAAAGCCACACACCCATGCCAACATCCAACTCTCACAACACTCTTTCAGAAACAGTTTGTCAGCTCCTGTGGCTGTGTGGTTTTGCAAGAAGCTAATGTGGCATAGAGCAACCCCAGGCAATACAGGTGGCCTGCTCCTAGAAATCACAGTACTGCAAGTTTCAAAAAGACTCACACCTACAAAGTCTAGGCAGGCCTAAGGAATCCTTCCGATTTTTTTGGATCCTTAGGGATTTTGAGGTTTATTCCTAGTGCTGTGGTCGATGTTTCTTCAGGCTGGCTCTCATTTGCCCTCTCCTAGGCTCATGGGACTATCCTGTGGTTTCCACAGAGAAGACAGGCAAGAGTTCACCAACCACGCAGCTCCACGTAGGCCTTTTTCTCTGCAAAGATGAAGGGACTTGTTGCTAGGCAACAATGACATTCATTGGGATGCTCACTAAAGCTCAATATCAGTCCTGGTGCCCTGAGACTTGTGCATGCACATTCGTGAGGCAGGCCCAGGTGCCTGGCCATCAGACCTGTCAGTCTGCCCAAGCAGAGGAAAATAATACAGGCAGAGCCAGACTGGTATTGGGAAAAATGCTGCCTGTGAAAACCCACTGCAGGATCCTAAAACTCTCAACCTAAGGCCGCCCCTTTCTGGCCACCTCTCTGGTCAGGTCCTACTGGAGGGAGAGGCATTTCCAGACTGTGAGGTGGTCACTGGAAACTGCTCTTCTGAATCCATTCCCAAAAGAGGCTGTGTGCCAGAAATGGGTCCCATGGTGATTGGAAAATTGTCTGGTGTGTCGTTGAGGGTTCTTTAAGTGATAGAATCATACCTGAGACCCCAGGTGTGAATGTCAAAGAAAGACAGCCTGGCTCTTGACCTCATTGCCTCCCTTTATTTTGGGCCTTGCAGGGGCCCTCTGGGAAAAGCAGGAACAACAACAAAGGCAAGTCCAAGGTAGAGCAGTGTTCTCATAGCTCATACTGGCCTCTCACAGGTGCTGATGAGATTCAGTGTCTCAGAGGACATCTGCAGTGATGGCGAGTCTAAAAAGGGTGTCCATTAGTGCTGTTGAGGGGCACTGTTGAATCCCAGTGAAAGCAAAAAAAAAATAAAAAATAAAAATATGAAGGCTTGCCTGAGAGAACAAGCTGCTTTGTGCAGGAGTTCAAGCTTTGTTGAATAATTCCTGTCAGAGGACCCAAAATCCTCCTGGAAAATGCAAACAACCTCAGCTCCCACTATGAGACAAGCATCACAACCTGGAGTGCAGCCAGCCTAACCAAAGTCCCTTTTGCTCTCTGAAATCCCTGGCAGCCAAACAGAGGCTAGATTACAAGACCAAGGCAGACACGGCTGTCAGCTTCTCACTTTTCAGGTATCATGCATCTCTCTGATAGTAGTGGGTGAACACGAGTTTCCTTATGGCAGCTGTAACAGGAATTTATCGTTTTAACAAATTCAAAGCCATGCAGTCATTAACACATGACAGCGTTTAGAAAGAAAAATTAATGCAATGGATTTTCATAAGTCCCATTCTCCATGAATTCTGAAATGTTTAATGTGGAAGTCGTTGAGCCAGACCCAGGAAACCCTAGGCCTATAAGGAACATGGAAGTCAGGAAAAGAAGAGGCCATTGTGGAAGCCACATCCCAGACATCATCAATCTATTCTACTCACATTTGACTCTGGGTATAAAAGGCCTCAAATCCAGAGTTTGCCAAGATGGCCCCAATTTGCAGTCCAAATGTTTTTTGCACATTAGAGTACTCCCACCTGAACACTGGGCCAAGGTGCAGACAGATTGTGCAATTAAGAAAATGAGGGGATGGAGTTTGAAGAACTATCTTTGTTACCTGTCTTCATTATTTTTTTTTTTTGCAGATGAAGTTGCAGAACCCCATCCACTCCTCACCAGATTTTATCCTCACCCCTATCTGAACTTTTCCCTGTTCACATTCTAGGTCCAAGGATGATATCCCAAGATGATAGAGGAGTTCCCCATCATGACATGAAGCACATGCTCAGCTGGGAGCCAAATTCTATGTAAATTCAAGGGGTCCTGCATACAGGACTGCTAGTGTTTCTTTCTGGGTTGGCCACAGAACACTGAAACACTGGGAGATGTCTGTTTTTTGGTGTGGTGTGCTTCTCTTCTTTCTAGAAGTGTGTTGTTTTTTTTTGTGTGTGTGTTTTTTTGTTTGTTTGTTTTTGCAGGGGGAGGTGATTTGGACATTGGCGGGTCCCAGCCCACATCCTAATTTACTGCAGATTCATGATCCACAGAAAAAAAATAACACAAAGCCTCGCAGCCGAAGCAGAGCCACAGAGACAGGCCAACAAAAGGTTGGGAGATCCAAAAAAATGAAGCTCTGGAGTGTGTTTGCCACATTCCTTTAAGTAGACTCAACTTACAGGCACACATAGACACACACAAACACACTCATACACAAATACACAATACCAAACACACACAGACATCCAACACTTGCAACACTCCTGAAGAAACACAGCACTTGGTAGCTTCTGAGGCTGCATGGTTTTGCTGGAATCCCCATTTGGGTGAAAGCAACCCGGGGGAACATGTGGGCTGTAACTAGAAATCATAGTGAAACAAGTTTCAAGAAAACTCACCCTTACATCATCTAGGCAGGCCTGAGGAATCTTGCGATCTTTTGGATCCTTAGGGGTTTTGCCGTTTATTCCTGGGGCTCTGTTTGATGTTTCTTTCAGCTGGCTCATGTCTGCCCTCTTGTAGGATCATGAGACTGTCCCAAGTATCCCACAGAGAAGACAGGCAAGAGTCCACAGCTGACATGCCTACAGCGAGGTCTCCTTCTCCCTCAAGAGGCAGGAACTTGTCTCTAGGCAATGCTGACATTCATTGTGATGCTAGCCAGAGTTCACAATGAGAACTGGTACCCTGAGACTAGTGCATATGCATTCCCGGGGCAGGTACAAGTGCATGGCTGTCAGAGCTGTCAGCCTGCCTAAGCAGAGAAAAAATGGTACAGGTAAAACCGGTCTGGTGTTGTGAAAATGTTGCCTGCTAGAAGCCATGGTCAGACTCTACAGTCTCGACCTCAGGGCCCCTTCAGGCCATCTGCATGGTTGAGACCGGCTGGAGGAGGAGGCATTTTGAGACTGTGAGGTGGTGGCTGGAAACTGCTCTTCCTACTCCATTCCCAAAGGATGCTTTTTGCAAGAATCGGGTCTCATGGGAATTGGAATTTGGTCTGGTGTGTTGCTGAGGGTTCTTTGGGTGAGAGAATTATACGTGAGACCCCAGAGATGGGTGCCAATGAAAGATGGCTGGGCTATTTACCTCACTGTCTCTCTTCAGCCTGGGCCTTGATGGGGCCCTCTGCAAAAGGCAAAAACCATGACAAAGAGAAGTCCAACATGGGTCAGTGTTCTCACTTCGGTCTGGTCTCTCACGGGTGCAGATGAGGTTGAGACAATGTATCAGATGCCCTCTGTGGTGATAGCAAGCCTGAAACTGACCAGCAGTGCATTTGTAGGGTACTGTGGATTCTCTATGAAAGAAAAGAAACATCAAAGCTCACCTCAGAGAATGACCTGTTTTGTGCTGGAGTCCAAGCAATGTTCAATGTTTCCAGGCAGAGTACCCAAAAGCCTCCTGAAAAGTGCAAACAACCTCAGTACTCACAATGAGACCAAAAACCACAACCCGGAGGGAGTCAGCCTACCTGAAGTTCTTTTCATCCTTGAAATCCCTGGCAGCCAATAGATCTGTGGTGAGAGGCAGTCCCATCCAGCAACAGCCCAGTGAAAGACCTTGTATACAAAGAGAAAGGACTTGCATATGCAATGAAACAGAGGCTAGATTTCCAGGCAAAAGCCCAACATAGTTGCCTGCTTTTTATGCTACAGGAATCATGCATCCCTCCAGTAAAAGTGAGAGAATAAGAATTTCTTTGTTGGTGGCTGTAATGAAAATTTACAGTGTTAAAATCATCACATCTGCCCAGCCTTTAAAACGTGACAGTGTTTAGAAGAAAACACTCATGCATTGGATTCCCATGAAGGTCGTCCTCCATGAACTGTGAATTGCTTAGTGTGGAAAGTGTGAAGCCAGACCCAGGAAATCCTAGGCCATGAGGAACATGGAAGTCAGGAAAAGAAGAGACAAGTGTGCAGGGCACATCCCACCTACCATCAATACATCCCACTCTCATTTGGCTCAGGGTATGAGAGCTCTCAAATTGGGAGTTTGTTAGAATGCCCTCAACTTGCACTCCAAATGTTCCCTGAACATTGTATTACTCCCACCTGAACACCGGGCCATAATGTGAACTGCTTCTGCAATTAAAGGAATGTGGGGATGCAATAGGAAGCAGCTTCTGCGTCATCAGTCTTCACGTTTTTTTTGCGGGAGAAAGTGCGGGAGTCTATTTACGCCTCACCAGATTGTATCCTCACCCATATTTTACCTTCTTTCTGCTCATACTCTCTGTCCTAGAATGAAATCACAAGTTGATGGAGGAGTGCCACATGACGACATGAAGCCTCTGCTTGTCTGGGAACCAAATTCAAAGTAAATTCAAAGGGCCCTTCAGATAGTTCTGCTAGTTTCTCTCCCTGGGTCTGCCGCAGGACAATGAAACACAGAGATATTTGCTTTGGAGTGTGATGCGCTGTCTCCTAATTCACTGAGAATTCATACTCCACGGAAAAATAACGGAGATGGAGCCCTGCAACCCAAGCAGAGCTACACCAACAGGCCACCAAAAGGTTTGGAGATTCAAAAAGAGGAAGTGTTGCCGTGCGTTATCCACATTCCATTAAGCAGACTCCACTTACAGCCACACACAAACACATAAACACACACACACACACACACAAACACACAAAGCCACGCAGATATGCAGACATCCAACACTTTCAACATTTCCACAGAAACACACAGCACGGCAGCTTCTGAGTTTGCGTGCTTCTGCAGGAAGCCCTAACTGAAAGAGAGGAACTTTGGGGAACACAGGTGGGCTGTACCTAGAAATCACAGTGGGGTAAGTTTCTTTTTTTTATTGTACTTTAAGTTTAAGGTACATGTGCACAATGTGCAGGTTTGTTACATATGTATACATGTGCCATATTGGTGTGCTGCACCCATTAATTCATCATTTACCATTAGGTATATCTCCTAATGCTATCCCTCCCGCCTCTCCCCACCCCACAATTCCCAGTATGTGATGTTACCCTTCCTGTGTCCACGTGTTCTCATTGTTCAATTCCCACCTATGAGTGAGAAAATGCGGTGTTTGGTTTTTTGTCCTTGTGATAGTTTGCTGAGAATGATGGTTTCCAGCTTCATCCATGTCCCTACAAAGGACATGAACTCATCATTTTTTATGGCTGCATAGTATTCCGTGGTGTAAATATGCCACATTTTCTTAATCCAGTCTATCATTGTTGGATATTTGGTTTGGTTCCAAGTCTTTGGTATTGTGAATAGTGCCGCAGTAAACAAACGTGTGCATGTGTCTTTATAGCAGCATGATTTACAATCCTTTGGGTATATACACAGTAAAGGGATGGCTGGGTCAAATGGTATTTCTAGATCTAGATCCCTGAGGAATCGCCACACTGACTTCCACAATGGTTGAACTGTTTACAGTCCCACCAACAGTGTAAAAGTGTTCCTATTTCTCCACATCCTCTCCAGCACCTGTTGTTTCCTGACTTTTTAATGATCCCCATTCTAAATGGTGTGAGATGGTATCTCATTGTGGTTTTGATTTGCATTTCTCGGATGGCCAGTGATGGTGAGTATTTTTTCATGTGTTTTTTGGCTGCATAAATGTGTTCTTTTGAGAAGTGTCTGTTCATATCCTTTGCCCACTGGTTGATGGTGTTGTTTGTTTTTTTTCTTGTAAATTTGTTTCAGTTCATTGTAGATTCTGGATATTAGCCCTTTGTCAGATGAGTAGGTTGCAAAAATTTTCTCCCATTCTGTAGGTTGCCTGTTCATGCTTATGGCAGTTTATTTTGCTGTGCAGAAGCTCTTTAGTTTAATTAGATCCCATTTGTCAATTTTGGCTTTTGTTGCCATTGCTTTTGGTGTTTTAGACATGAAGTCCTTGCCCATGCCAATGTCCTGAATGGTATTTCCTAGGTTTTCTTCTAGAGCTTTTATGGTTTTCATCTAATGTGTAAGTCTTTAATCCATCTTGAATTAATTTTTGTATAAGGTGTAAGGAAGGGATTCAGTTTCAGCTTTCTACATATGGCTAGCCAGTTTTCCCAGCACCATTTGTTAAATAGGGAATCCTTTCCCCATTTCTTGTTTTTGTCAGGTTTGTCAAAGGTCAGATAGTTGTAGATATGCGGCATTATTTCTGAGGGCGCTGTTCTGTTCCATTGGTCTATACCTCTGTTTTGGTACCAGTACCATGCTGTTTTGGTGACTGTAGCCTTGTAGTATAGTTTGAAGTCAGGTAGCGTGATGCCTCCAGCTTTGTTCTTTTGGCTTAGGATTGACTTGACTATGCAGGCTCTTTTTTGGTTCCATATGAACTTTAAAGTATTTTTTTTTCCAATTCTGTGAAGAAAGTCATTGGTAGCTTGATGGGGATGGCATTGAATCTATAAATTACCTTGGGCAGTATGGCCATTTTCATGATATTGATTCTTCCTACCCATGAGCATGGAATGTTCTTCCATTTGTTGGTATCCTCTTTAATTTCATTGAGCAATGGTTTGTAGTTCTCCTTGAGGACATCCTTCACATCCATTGTAAGTTGGATTCCTAGGTATTTTATTTTCTTTGAAGCAATTGTGAATGGGAGTTCACTCATGATTTGGCTGTTTGTCTGTTATTGGTGTATAAGAATGTTTGTGATTTTTGCAAGTTGATTTTGTATCCTGAGACTTTGCTGAAGTTGCTTATCCACTTAAGGAGATTTTGGGCTGACATTATAGGGTTCTCTAGATATACAATCATGTCATCTGCAAACAGGGACAATTTGACTTCCTCTTTTCCTAATTGAATGCCCTTTATTTCCTTCTCCTTCCTGATTGCCCTGGCCAGAATTTCCAACACTGTGTTGAATAGGAGTGGTGAGAGATGGCATCCCTGTCTTGTGCCAGTTTTCAAAGGGAATACTTCCAGTTTTTGTGCATTCAGTATGATATTGGCTGTGGGTTTGTCATAGATAGCTCTTATTATTTTGAGATATGTCCCATCGATACCTAATTTATTGAGAGTTTTTAGCATGAAGGGTTGTTGAATTTTGTCAAAGGGCTTTTCTGCATCTATTGAGATAACCATGTGGTTTTTGTCTTTGGTTCTGTTTATATGCTGGATTACATTTATTGATTTTCATATGTTGAACCAGCCTTGCATCCCAGGGATGAAGCCCACTTGATCATGGTGGATAAGCTTTTTCATGTGTTGCAGGATTCGGTTTGCCAGTATTTTATTGAGGATTTTTGCATCAATGTTCATCAAGGATATTGGTCTAAAATTCTCTTTTTTGTTGTGTCTCTGCCAGGCTTTGGTATCAGTATGATGCTGGCCTCATAAAATGAGTTAGGCATGATTCCCTCTTCTTCTATTGATTGGAATAGTTTCAGAAGGAATGGTATCAGTTCCTCCTTGTACCTCTGGTAGAATTTGGCTGTGAATCCATCTGGTCCTGGACTTTTTTTGGTTGGTAAGCTATTAATTATTACCTCAATTTCAGAGCCTGTTATTGATCTATTCGGAGATTCAACTTCTTCCTGGTTTAGTCTTGGGAGAGTATATGTGTTGAGGAATTTATCCATTTCTTCTAGATTTTCTAGTTTATTTTTGTAGAGGTGTTCATAGTATTCTCTGATGGTAGTTTGTATTTCTGTGGAATCAGTGGTGATATCCCCTTTATCATTTTTTATTGCATCTATTTGATTCTTCTCTCTTTTCTTCTTTATTAGTCTTGCTAGCAGTCTATCAATTTTGTTGACCTTTTCAAAAAACCAGCTCCTGGATTCAAAGCAGTGTGTAGAGGGAAATTTATAGCACTAAATGCCCACAAGAGAAAGCAGGAAAGATCTACAATTGACACCCTAACATCACAATTAAACGAACTACAGAAGCAAGAGCAAACACATTCAGAAGCTAGTAGAAGGCAAGAAATAACTAAGATCAGAGCAGAACTGAAGGAAATAGACACACAAAAAACCCTTCAAAAAACAGTGGGGTATAGGCTTCAAAAGGCTCACCCCTACAACATCTAGGCATGCCTGAGTCATCCTGCAGATCCTTTTAGATCCTTATGGATTTCATGGTTTATTGCTGAAGCTCTGCTTGATGTTTCTTCAGGCTTGTTCACATCTGCCCTCTTCTAGGATCATGGGACTATCTCGAGGATCCACACCTCCACAGAAGTCTCCTTCTCAGCTGCCAAGATGCAGAGACTTAGGCAACTATGACATTCATGGTGATGCTAGCCAGAGCTCAAAGCTAAGGCCTTGTGCCCCTGACACTAGCGAATATGCATTTGCGAGGATGGCTCATGCACACAGCTCTCAGACCTGTTAGCCTAGGCAGAGGAAAATGGTACAAGTAGAGCCAGCTTTGTATTTAGAAAAAGGCTGCCTGAGATAACACACTGCGGTACTCTAAATGTCTTCAACTTAGGACCACGTCTTGTGATCTACATGGTCGGGTCCCACTGGAGTATGAAGCATTCCAGGACTGTGAAGTGGTGGCTGGAAACTGCTCTTCTGACTTCATTTCCAAAAGAAACTGTATGCAAGAATCTGGTCCCAAGGGGATTGGAATATAGTACGGTGAGTTTCCTTGTTGGCGGCAGTAATGGCAATTTACAATTTTAAAAATATCAAACCTGCCGAGTCATTAAAACATAACTGTGTTTAGAAGGAAACACTCATGCAATGGATTCCTAAGAGGGTTATTCTCCATGCAGGGGGAAACCTTTAGTGTGCAAGTGATTAAGCCAGACTCAGGAAACTGTAGGCTGACAAGGAACATGGAAGTCAGGAAAAGAAGAGAAAAGTGGCCACATCCCATTCAACATCAATCCTTTCCACTCCCATTTGGTTCTGGGTATGAAAACCCTCAAATTGGGAGTTTGCCAAAACAGCCCCAATTTGCAGTCCAACTTTTCCTGAAATATTGGAGGACTCCATCTGAACACTGGGTCATTTTATGGACTGCTTGTGCAATTAAAAGAATGTGGGAATGGTGTTGGAAACACCTTCTGTGTCATGTAATTTTTTTTGCAGGTGAAGTTGCAGAACCCCATTTACTCCTCATCAGATTGTATCTTCCCTCCTATCTGACTTTATTGCTGCTCACACTCTATGTCCCAGAAGGAAATCCCAAAATGATGGAGGAGTGTTTCCTCATGATGTGAAGTGCCTGCTGGGCTGGGAATTTCAAGGTATATTCAAGGGGACCTGCAGACAGGACTGCTAGTGTCTCTCTGTGTGTTGGCCACAGGAAAATAAAACACTGGGAGATGTCTCTTTTTTGGTGTGGTGTGCCCTCTTCTTTCTAGAAGAGTCAATTTTCTTGCAGGGTGAGCTGACTTGGATGCCTGCAGGTATCAGCCCACCTTCCAATTCACTGTGGATTAATAATCCATAGAACACGGAGCTCTGGACCCCAAGCAGAGACACACAGAAAGGCCACCAAAAGGTTTTGAGTCCCCCACCAAAAAAGTGCTGAAATTCATTAGCCATACTTCTTTAAGCAGACTCCACTAACAGGCACACACACACACAGGCATGCATGCAAACACACACACACCAAGCCACAAACACAGAAAGACATCTAACACTTGCAGAAAACACTCCCATGGAAACACAGCCTGGCAGCTTCTGATGCTGCCTGGTTCTGCAGGAAGCCCCCACTGGGAGAGAGCAAACCTAGGGAACATAGTTGGGCTGTAACTAGAAATCACAATGGGACAAGTTTCAAAAAGATTGACCCTACAATCTCTAGGCAAGCCTGTGGCATTGTGCAGATTTTTTTTTTTTTGTATGCATAGGGATTTCTTGGTTTATTTCCAGCGCTCTTCTTGACATTTCTTCAGGCTGGCTCACATCTGCCCTCTCAAAGCATCATGGGACTATTCCTTGGATCCCACAGGGAAGACAGGGGAAAATCCACAGCCAAAGCATCTCCACGAAGGTCTCCGTTTCTGCCAAGCTGCAGGGAGTTGTCACTAGGTAAAGGTGGCATTCACTGTGACTCTAGCCAGAGACCACAGCTCAGGCCTGGTGCCCTGAGACAAGCACATGGGCATTCACGAAGCCAACTCTCAAAGCTGTCAGACTGCCTAAGCAGAGGAAAATGATACAGGCAGAGAATGTTTGGTATCGGGAAAAAGGCTGCCTATTATAAGCTACTGTGGGATCCTAAAAGTCTCCACCTGAGGGCTGCCTTCAGGCTGAGGCATTTCCAGACTCTGAGGTGGTTACTGAAAACTACTCTTCTGACTCCATTTTTGAAAGAGTCTGTGTGCAAGAATCGGGTCCCATGGGGATTGGAATATAGTCTGGTGTGTTGTTGAGGGGTCTTTAGCTGACAAAATCAAACCTGAGACATCAGAGGTGGGTGTCAGTGAAAGATGACTGGGTTCTTAACCTCACTTCCTCCCTTCACCCTGGGCCTCACTGCCGCTCTCTGGGAAAGCCAGGAACAACAACAAAGGAAAGTCCAAGGTGGAGCAGCATTCTCACACCTCGAAAGGCCAATCATGCATTCAGATGATGCTAAGAGAATGTCTCAAATGCCCTCTGTGGTGATTGCCAGCCTGAAAAAAGTACTCAGTACTGCTGTTAAGGGACACAGTGAACCACACATGAAAGGAATGAAAAATCAAGGCTCTCCTGAGAGAATGAGCCGATTTGTGCTGGAGTCCTAGCAATGTTTCAAGATTCCCATCAGAGGACCCAAATCCTCCTGCAAAATTCAAACAACGTCAGCGTCCACATACAGACCATGACCCATAACCTGGAGCACAGAAGCCTATGCAAATTCCCTTTTGCTCCCTGAAATCTCTGGCTGCCAAAAGATCTGTGGCAAGAGGCAGTCCCATCCAGCAACAACCCAATGAAAGACACCCTCCACAATGAGAAAGTACGTGCAAATGAAATGAAACAGATCGTAGTTTACCAGTTAAAAGCCAGACACGATGGCCTGCTTGTCATCCTACAGGAATCATGCAGCCCTCCAATAGAAGTGGGAGAAAAAGACTTTCCTTGTTGGTGGCTGTAATGGGAATTTATGGTGTTAAAATATCACAGCTGCCCAGTCATTAAAATGTGACAGTGTTTAGAAGGAAACACTAGGGATTCCCATGAGGGTTGTCCTCCATGAAGTGAAAACATTTAGCGTGAAAGACTTGGAGCCAGACCCAGGAAAACCTAGGCCCACGAGAAACATGGAAGTCAGAAAAAGAAGAGGCAAGTGTGGAGGCCACATCCCACCCACCTTCAATCCATCTCACTCCCACTTGGCTGTGGAGATGAAAGCCCTCAAATCTGGAGTTTGCCAAGATATCCCCAGTTGCAGTCCAAATGTTCCCTGAACTTTGGAGTACTTCCAACTGAACACCATGCCATGAGGTTGAAAGCACCTTTTGTGTCATCTGTCTTCATTTCTCTTGCAGGTAAAGTTGTGTCACCCATGCACCCCTCACCAGATTGTATCATCACCCCTATTTGACCTTATTGCTCTCCACACTCTATGTCCCAGGATGAAATCCCAAAATGATAAAAAAATGTGCCCACCCCCCACAACATATGAATCACCTGTTCGGCTGGGATGCGAATTCGAGGTTAATTTAAGAGGCCCTGTGGACTGGAATGCTAGTGTCTCTCCTGGGTTGGCCAAAAGACAATAAAACACTGAAAGATATCTCTTTCTTGTGTAGTGTGCTCCTCTTCTTTCTGGAAGGGTGGTTTATGGCACACACAATGCCACATACAGACTCAGACATCCAACATTCGCAACACTCCCACAGAAACACCCAACCCAACAACTACTCAGGATGCATTGTTGTGCAGGAAACACCATGTGGGAGAGAGCCCCACAGCCCAAGCAGAGTCACACAGACAAGCCAACAAAAGTTTGGGAGACACAAAAAAAGGAAGTGCTGAAGTGCATTACCAACATTCCTTTAAGCAGACTGCACTTACAATCACACACACACATACATGCAAACACAAAATGTCACACACACACACACACAGACATCCAACACCCACAACACTCCACCAGAAATGTTTGGAGGCAAAAAAAAAAAAAAGAAGAAGCACTGAGTACATTAGTCACATTATTTTAAGCACACTCCACTTACAGGCACACAAACACACACAATGCCACAGACACATGCAGACATCCAAGACTTGCAACACTCCTGCAAAATAAGTAAATAAATAAATAAATGTTGGGCAGCTCCTGTCGCTGTGTGGTTCTGCAGGAATCCTAATCTGCAAGAGACCAACACCAAGAAACACAGGGGAACTGTACCTAGAAATTACAGTGGGACAAGTTTCAAAAAGACTCACGCCTACAATGCCAGACCTGAGGATTCCTGTGTATACTTTTGGATCCTTTGGGATTTCACAGTATATTCCTGGAGCTGTGGTTGATGTTTCTCCAGGCTAGGATCATGGGACAATCCCATGGATACCACGGAGACTAGTGCCTGTGCATTCATGAGGAAGGATCAGGCACCTGTCTCTCAGAGCTGTCAGCCTGCTTAAGCAGAGGAAAATGGTACAGGCAGAGCTGGCCTGGCATGGCCAGAAAAACTGCCTGTGATAACCCACGGCCAGACCCAAAAAGTCTAGACCATAGGACTGTTTTGGGCAGTCTCCGGGGTCAAGTTCTGCTGAAGGAGTTGTTTTGAGACTGTGAACTGTCTTTGCAACCTGCACCTCTGCCTTCATTCCCCAGAGAGGCTGTGTGCAAGATTCCATTCCCATGGGGATTGGAATATGTCTGGTTAGTTTTTGATGGGTCCTTTGGTGATGGAACCATAACTGAGACCCAAGAGGCAGATGTCAGCAAAAGATGGCCAGCCCCTTGATTTCACTGCCTCCCTTCATCCTGGACCTCACAGAGACTCTTGGGGAGAGATAGGAACCACAACAAAATCAAGTCCAAGATAAAGTGTTTGCACACCTCAAACTGGCCTCTCACAGGTGCAAATGAGGTTGAGACACCATATCAGAGGCCGTCTGTGGCAACTGCAAGCCAGAAAAATTGTGTCCAGTAGGGCTGATGCAGAGCAATGTGGGCCTCCCATGAAAGCAAACATAAATGAAGGCTCACCTGAGAGAACAAGCTGACTTGTGCGGGAGTCTAAGCAATGTTGAAAGATTTTTGCCAGAGGATTTAAAAGCCTCCTGCAAATGCCAAAAAACATCAGCCCCCACAAGGAGACCATGGCCCACAACCTACAGCATAGTCAGCATAGAAAAAATCCTTTTTGGTTCCTGAAGTTTTTGGCAGCCAAATGATTTGTAGCAAGAAGCAGTCCCATTCAGCAAGAGCCAATGAAAGATCCACTCCACATCGTGGAAGGACTTGCAGATGAAGTAAAACAGAGCCAAGATTACCAGGCAAATACATACATGGCTGCCTGCTTCTTATCCTACAGGAATCATGTAGCCCTTTGATAAAAGTGGGAGAACAAGGTTTTTCATGTTGGCGGCTGTATCGGGAATTTACGCTTTAAAAATATCACAGCTGCCCGGTCATTAAAACGTAACAGAGTTTAGAAAGAAACACTCAAGCAATGGATTCCCATGAGGGTTGTCCTCCATGAACTGGGAAATTTTAGTGTGGAAGACATGGAGGAAGACCCAGGAAACCATTGGCTGAAAAGGAACATGGAAGTCAGGAAAAGAAGAGGCAAGTGTGGAGGCCACAGACCACCCAGCATCAATCAATCACACTCTCATTTGGCTCCAGGTATGAAAGCCCTCACATTGAGGGTTTGCCAGAATGGGCCCAGTTTGTAATGTTCCCTGAACATTGGAGTACTTTCACCTGAACTCTGGGCTAAGGAGTTGAAGGCACGTTCCATGCCATTTTTCTTCATTTTATTTGCAGGTGATGTTGCAGAACCCCATGTACCCCTCACCAGAATGTATCCTCACGCCTAAATGACCTTATTGCTGCTCACAATTTATGTCCCAGGTTGAGATCCCAAAATGATGGCGAATTGCCCCCCAAAGATGTGAATCACCTGATCGGCTAGGAACAAAACTCAAGGTAAATTCAAGTGGCCCTTTGGACAGGACTGCTTGTGTTTCTCCCTGGGTTGGCCACAGGACAATGAAACATTTGGAGATGTCTCTTTTCTAGAAAAGCTCCTCTTCTTTCTAGAAGAGTGGCTTTTTTGGCACACACAGTGCCGCGCACACACACACACACACACTCAGATATCCTAGACTACAACACTCCCACAGAAACACACAGCCCAGCAGCCACTGAAGTTGTGTTGTTGTGCAGGCAGCACCACCTGGAAGAGAGCCCTATAGCCCAAGCAGAGCCAAACGGACATGCCACCAAGGGTTGGGAGACTCAAAAAAATAAAAAAAAGGAAGTGCTAAAGTGCATTAGCAACATTCCTTTAAGTAGACTCCACTTACAGTCACACACACACAAACACACAATCGTACACACATAGTTATCCACCAGAAAGGTTTGGAGACTAAAAAAAGAAAAAAAGATGAAGAAGTGCTGAAGTGTTTTAGCCTCATTATTTTAAGTACACTCCACTTACAGGAACACACATACAGAAATACACAATACCACACACAAAGGCAGACAAGCAACATCACAACACTTCCACAGAAAAACAAATTCCAGCACCAACTTAGGCTGTGTGGTTCTGCAGGGATTCCCACCTTGGGGAGAGTAACCCCAAGAAATACAGGCAGGCTGTACTTCACAGTGGGGCATGTTTCAAAAAGATTCCCTTCTACAACATCTAGGTAGGCCTGAGAAATCCTGCAGATCCTTTTGCATCCTTAGGGATTTTGCAGATTATTTCTGGGGCTGTGCTTGACCTTTCTACAGGCTGGCTCACATCTGCCCTCTCCTAGCATCATGAGACAATCACGTGGATACCACAGAGAAGACAGGCATGAGTCCACCGATGACACACCTCCAAGGAGGTCTCCTTCTCCGCCAAGCCACAGGGACTTTTTGCTAGGCAATTGTGACATTCATTGTGATTCTAGCCAGAGCTCACAATCAGGCCTGATTCTGTGAGACTAGCACACATGCATTCATGAGGCAGGTCAAGCAGCCAGCTGTCAGAACTGTCAGCTTGCCTAAGCAGAGGTAAATGGAACAGGTAGAGCCAGCCTGGTATCAAGAAAAAGGCTGTCTCTGAAAACCCACTGCAGGATGCTAAATGTCTCAACCTCAGGGCCCCTTCGGGTCATCTCTGTGGTTGGATCCCGGTGGAGGAAGAGGCATTTTGAGGCAGTGAGCTGGTCACTGTCCATTCCAGAAAGAGGGTATGTGCAAGAATCTGGTCCCCTGGGGATAGGAATGTGCTTGGGTGTATTGTTGAGGGTTCCTTGGGCGATAGAATCATACCTGAGTATCTAGAGGCAGGTGTTAACAAAAGACAGCAGTGCTCTTGACCTCACTGCCTTCCTTGATCCTGGGCCTCACAGGGGCTCATTGTGAAAGACAGGAGCAACAACAAGGGCAAGGTGGAGCAGTGTTCTCATATCTTGGACTGGGCTTTCACCCATGAAGGTGAAGTTGAGACAGGGTCTCAGCGGCCATCTGTGGGGATGGTAAGCCTGAAAGTGGTGTCCTGTTGTGCTGTTGAGGGGCACTGTGAACTCCCCTGGAAAGCAAAGACAAATCAAGGCATACCTGGGAGAATGAGCTGCCTTGTTCCGCGGTCCAGATGATGTTCATGATTCCTGTCAGAGGACCCAAAATCCTCTTGCAATTTGGAAACCACATCAGTTTCAACAATGAGACAAGGACCCACCTCCTTGAGCATAGGCAGACTACTTGAAGTCCCATTTGCTGTTTGAAATCACTGGCAGCTAATCTGTGGCCAGAGGCAGTCTCATCTAGCAATAGCCTAATGAAAGAGCCCTTCCATGATGAGAAGCCCGTCCAGATGAAATGAAACAGAGGATAGATTACCAGGCAAAAGCAAGACATGGCTAAGTGCTCATCCTACAGGAATTATGCAGCCCTCCAATAGAAGTGGGAGTTTCCTTGGTGGTGGTGGTGGTAATGGGAATTTATGATTTTAAAAGTATCAAAGCTGCCCAGTCATTAAAACTTGACAGTGTTTAGAAGGAAACACTTATGCAATGGATTCCCATGATAATCATTCTCCATGAACTGAGAAACGTTTAGTGTAGAAGTGGTTGAGCCATACCCAGGAAACCCTAGGCCAACAAGAAACATGGAAGTCAGTGAAAGAAGAAGCAAGTCTGGAGGCCACATCCCACCCAGCATCCATCAATTCCACTCCCATTTGGCTTTGAGTATGAAAGCCCTCAAATCGGGAGTTTGCCAGGTTGGCCCCAATTTGCAGTCCAAATATTTTTTGCACATTGGAGTACTCTCACTTGAACACCGAGCCATGTTGTTGTCTGCTTGTGCAATTAAGGGAATGCGGGGATGGAGTTGGAAACACATTCTGTGTCACCTGTCTTCACTATTTTTACAGGTGTAGTTGTGGGACCCCATCCACCCTGACCAGATTGTATCCTCATCCCTATTTGACCTTATTGCTGCTCACTCTCTATGTCCCAGTATAAAATCCCAAGACTGTGGTGGAGTGCCCCCTCATGACATAAAGCACCTCCTCAGGTGGGAAACAAATTTGAGGTAAATTCAAGTGGCCCTGCAGACAGGACACTTAATGTCTCTCCCTCGTTTGGCCAAAGGACAGACAATGAAACACTGGGCAATATCTCATTTTTGGTGTGACGTGCTCCTCTTCTTTTTAGAAGATTGGCTTTTTTTGGTACGGAGAGATGACTTGGACACAGACATCTCTCGACCTGCCTCCCAATTGACTGCGGATTTATGATCTTCCAAAAAATAAAGAACACAGGGACCCATAACCCAAGCAGAGCCACACAGCCAAGCCAACAAAGTGTTGGAAGAAAAAAAAAAAGAAGAAGCTCAGAAGTGTGTCAGCCACATTATTTTAAGCAGAGCCACTTACAGGCACACACACACACACACACACACACACACACACAAACACGATGCCAAAAACACACACAGACATCCAACACTCACAACACTCCCACAGAAAAATACAGCCTGGCAGCACCTGAGACTGTGTGGTTCTGCAGGAATCCCGACCTAGGAGAGAGCAACCCCAACGAACACAGGGCAACTGTACCTAGAAATCATTGTGGGACAAGTTTCAAAAAGACTCACCCCTAAAACTTCTTGGCAGGCCCATGAAATCTTGCAGACATTTTTGGATTCTTAGGGTTTTCAATGTTTATTCCTGGGATCAGCTTTACCTTTCTTCATGCTGGTTCACATCTACCCTATCCTAGGGTAATGAGACTATCCAGTAAATCTCACAGAGAAGACAGGTGACAGTCCACTGCCCACACAACTACATAGAGGTCTTCTTCTCTGGCAAGCCACGGGCATTGTAACTAGGCAATGGTGACATTTATTGTGATGCTAGCTAGAGCTCACAATCAGGCCTGGTATCCTGAGAGTAGCCCATGCACATTTTAAGGCAGGCTCAGGTAACCAACTCTCAGGGCTGTCATCCTGACTAAGCAGAGGAAAATGGTACAGGCAGAACTGAACTAGGGTGGGATAAAAGGCTGCCTGAGATAACCCACTGCCTTACCCAAAAGGTCTAGACTCTAGAGCCCTTTTGGGCAGTCTCCATGGTCAGGTCCAACTGAAAGAGGAGTCATTTTGAGACTGTGAGGTGGTCGCTGCAATCTGCTCCTCTGTCTCCATTCCAAAAAGAGACTGTGTGTAAGAGTCTGCTCTCTTGGGGATTGGAATACCATCTGGTGAGTCTTTGAGGTGTCTTTGGGTAATGAAATCATCACTGAGACCTAAGAGGTGGGTGTCAGCAAGAGATGGACAGGCCCTTGACCTCACTGCCTCCCTGCATTCTGCTTATCTCAGGGGCCCTCAGGGAAAGGCAGGAACCATGACAAAGGCAAGTCAAAAATAAAGCATTGTTCTCACACTTCAAACTGGCCTCTCACGGGTGTAGATGAGATTGAGACATTGTATCAGAGGTCGTCTGTGGCAATTGCAAGCCAGAAAATGGTGTCCAGTAGTGCTGATGAGGTGCAAAGTGGACCCCCCATGAAAGCAAAGAAAAATGAAGGTTTGCCTGAGAGAACAAGTAGACTTGTGTGGGAGTTCAAGCGATATTCAAAGATTTTTGTCAGAGTACCCAAGAGCCTCCTGCAAAGCATAAACAACATCGGCTCCCCAACAAGGAGACCACAACACACAACGTGGAGCATAGCCAGTCTACACAAAGTTCTTTTTGCTTCCTGAAATTTCCGGCAGCCAAAAGATCTATAGCGAGTGGCAGTCCGATCCAGCAAGAGCCAATGAAAGATCCACTCCACAGTGAAGAAGGACATGCAGATGAAGTGAAACAAAGCCAAGTTTACCAGGCAAATGCAGAATGGCTGCCTGCTTCTCCTCCTACAGGAATCATGCAACCCTATGTTAAAAGTGGGAGAACAAGAATTTCCATGTTGGCAGCTGTAATGGAAATTTAAGCTTTTAAAATATCACAGCTGACAACTCATTAAAACATGACAGAGTTTAGAAAGAAACACTCATGCAATGGATTTCCATGAGGGTCTTCCTCTGTGAACTGAGAAACTTTTGGTATGGAAGATGTGGATCCAGACCCAGAAAACCTTAGGCTGAAGAGGAATATGGAAGGCAGAAAAAGAAGAGCAAGTGTATAGGCCACATACCACCCAGCATCAATCCATTACACTCTCCTTTGGCTCTGGGTATGAAAGCCTGCACATCAGGAGTTTAAAAGGATGGCCCCAGTTTATACTTGAAATGTTCCCTGCATGTTGGAGTACTTCCAGCTGAACACCTGGCTATGGAGTTGGAAGCACCTTCTGGGTCATCTGTCTTCTTTTTTTTTTTGCAGGAGATGTTGTGAGACCCCATGCACTGCTCACCAGATTATATCCTCAACACTACCTGAACTTATTGCTTCTCATTATGTTCGAGGATGAAATTTCAAGGCAATGCTGGAGTGGCCACTCACAACATGAAGCACATGCTTGGCTGTGAACCAAATATGAGGTAAATTCAAGCAGCTCTGAAGACAGGACTGCTAGTGTTTCTCCCCGGGTTCACCACAGGACAATGAAACACTGGGAGATGCCTTATTTTTGGTGTGGTGTGCTCCTCTTCTTTCTAGGAGAGTGGCTTTTTTTGCAGGGGGAGGTGACTTAGATGCCAGCATATTTCGACTTGCCTCCCAATTCACTGCAGATTCATGATCCACAGAAAAATAAAGACCATGAAGCCCTGCAGCCCAAGCAAAGCCACAATGACCACACAACAGAATGTTGGGAGATTCGAAAAAGAAGTGCTGAAGTGCATTAGCCACATTATTTTAAGCATACTCCACTTACAGGCACATACACACACACACACAATGCCACACACACACACAAACAACACTCACAACACTCCCACAGATAAACACACACTGGCAGCTACTGAGGCTGCATGGTTCTGCAGGAATCCCCACCTTGGAGAGAGCAACCCAAAAACAATCGGGATATACTTAGAAATCACTGTGGGGCAAGTTTCAAGAAGACTTACCCCTACAATGTCTAGGCAGTCCTGAGGAATCCTGCAGATCTTTTGCATCCTTGGGGATTTTGTGGTTTATTCCTGCGGCTCTGCTTGACGTTACTTCAGGCTGGCTCACATCTGTACCCTCCTGGGAACATGGGATTATCTCATGGATCCCACAGAGAAGACAGGCAACAGTCCAAAGCCAACACACTTCCATGGAAATCTTCTTCTCCAACAAGACACAGGGACTTGTTGCTAGGCAATGGTGACATGTATTGTGATGCTAGCCAGAGCTCAGAATCAGGCCTTGTGCCCTGAGACTAGCACATGCACATTTGTGAGGGAGGCTTAGGTACTGTGCTGTCAGAGCTGTCACCCTATCTAAGCACAGAAAAATGGTACAGGCAGAGCAAGCCTGGTATCAAAAAAAAAGGCTGCCTGCAAACCTCCACTTCAGGACCCTAAAACTGTCAAACTGATGGACTCTCCAGTCCATCTTGGTGATCGGGTCATGCCAGAGGCAGAAGCTTTATGTTACTGTGAGGTGGTCACAGGAAACTGCTCTTGTGACTCCATTCAGGAAAGACCTATGTGCAAGAATCGGGTCCAGCGGGGATTGGCATATAATCTGGTGTGTTGTTGAGGGTTCTTTTGGTGATAAAATAATACCTCAGATCCCAGAGTTGGGTGTTAGTGAAAGATGTCCAGGTTCTTGACCTCACTTCCTCCCTTTATTCTGAGCCTCACAGGGCTCTCTGGGAAAAGCAGGAACCAAGACAAAGGCAATTCCAAGTTGGAGTGGTGTTCTTGTACCTCGGATTGGCCTCTCACTAGTGCATATGAGTATAGACAGTGTCTCAGAGGCTGTCTGTGGTGATGACAAGCCTTTAAATGGTGTCCAGTAGTGCTGTTGATGGGCACTGTGGATTCCCTGTGAAAGCAACAGAAAATCAAGGCTCACCAGAGATCAAGCGGTCTTGTGCTGGAGCCCAAGTAATGTTCAATGATTCCTGTCAGAGGACCCAAAACCATCCTCCAAAGTGCAAACATCCTCAACCCCCAAAAAGAGACAACAACCCAAAACCTGGAGTGCAGCCAGAATAGCCAATCTTTTTTATGGTCTCTCAAATCCCTGGCCACTTAATAATCTATGGTGAAAAGCAGTCCAATCTGGCAACATCCCAGTGAAAGAGCCCCTCCACAATAAGAAGGCCATGCAGATGACATGAAACAGAGGCTAGATTACCAGGAAAATGAAGACACTGCTGCCTGTTTCTCATCCTGCAGGAATCACGCAGGCCTCTGATAGAAGTGGAAGAATAAGAGTTTTCTTCTGGATGGCTTTAATGGGAATTTATGGTTTTAAAACTATCAAAGCGTCCCACTCATTAAAACATGACAATGTTTAGAATAAAACACTCACAAATGGATTTCCATGAGGATAATTCTCTATGAACTGGGAAACTTTCTGTATGTGTGCTCCCTTTCTGTCTAGAAGAGGGGGTTAGAGTGGTTTTTTTGTTTGTTTGTTTTTTTGTTTTGTTTTTGCAGGTGGAGGTTATTTGGATGCTGAAACATTTTGGCATGCTTCCCAATCCACTGCAGACTCATGAATGATTCACAGAAAAATAAAGAACACTGAGCAATACAGCCCAAGCCAAGCCACACAGACAGGCCACCAAAAGGTTGGGATACAAAAAAATGAAAGAAAGAAATGCTGTAGTGCCTTAGCCACATTCTTATAAGCAGACTCCACTTACAGTAACACATGCACAAACACACACAAACCCAATGCCACACAGACACACAGACATCAAACACACAGATATCCAACACTCACAACACTCCCACAGAAACACACAATCCAGGATCCCCTGAGGCTCTGTGGTTCTACAAGCAAACGCAGGC
Source organism: Homo sapiens (assembly GCF_000001405.40). NCBI lineage: Eukaryota > Metazoa > Chordata > Mammalia > Primates > Hominidae > Homo > Homo sapiens. The sequence goes on from NC_000024.10 coordinate 6,447,330, forward strand.
AGTCTGTAGTTAGAAATCACAGTGGTGCAAGTTTCAAGAAGACTCATCCCTACAATGTCTAGGCAGGCCAGAGGAATCCTGCTGATCTTTTTGGATCCTTAGGGATTTCATGGTTTATTCCTGGAGCTGTGCTTCAGGTTTCTTCAGGCTGCCTCATGTCTGCCCTCTCCTAGGATCATGGGACTATCCTGTGGATCTCACAGAGAAGACAGGCGATAGTTCACTGCTGACGCACCTCTACAGAAGTCTCATTCACCAAGCTGAAGAGACTTGTTGCTAGGTAATGGTGACATTTATGCTGATGCAAGCCAGAGTTCACAATGAGGCCTGGTGCCCTGAGGATAGTGCATGCACATTCGTGAGGCAAGCTGGGGAGCATGGCTGTCAGAGCTATCAGCCTGCCTAAGTAGACAATAATGGTACAGACAGAGTTGTCCTGGTATCAGGAAAAAGGCTGTCTGCAAAAACCCACTGAAGCACACTAAAACTCCCGACCTCAGGGACCCTTCAGGCCATCGTGGTGGTTAGGTTCTGCTGGAGGAGGAGGCATTTTGTGACTGTGAGGTGGTCGCTAGAAACTACTCTTCAGATTCCATTCCCAAAAAAGGCTGTGTGCAAGTATTGGGTACCATGGGGATTAAAATATAGTCTGATGTGTTCTTGAGGGTGTTTTGTGTGATAGGATCATACCTGAGACCCCAGAAGTGGGTGTCATGAAAAGATGGTCGGACTCTTAACCTCACTGCCTCCCTTCATCTATGACCTTGCAGGGGCTCTCAAGGAAAGACAGAAACTACAACAAAGGCAAGTCAAAGTTGGATCACTGTTCTCACACCTCATACTGCCCTCTCTTGGGTGAAGACGAGGTTAAAACAGTGTCTCAGAGGCCATTTGTTGGGATAGCAAGCCTGAAATGGGTGTCCAGTAGTGCTGTTAAGGGATAATGTAGATTCCTCATGAAAACAAAGAAAAATCAAGTCTCACCTAAGAGAACGAGCTGCCTTGTGCTGGAGTCCAAGTAGTGTTCAGTGATTCCTGTCAGAGAACACAAAAGCCTCTTGCCACGTGCAAATATTCTCAGCCCCCACAACAAGACAATGATAGGGAGTGTAGTCAGAGTACCCAATGTCCCTTTTGCTCTCTGAAATCCCTGGCAGCTAAATAATCCCTAGCCAGAAGCAGTCTCATCTAGCAACAACCCAATGAAAGAGACCCTCCACAAGAAGAATGCCATGCAGATGAAATGAAACAGAGGCTAGATTACAAGGAAAAAGACAAACACGGCTGCCTGCTTTTCATCCTGCAGGAATTATGCAGCACCTCGATAGAAATGGGAGAACAAGAGTTTTCTTATTGGTGGCTGTAATGGGAATTTACAGTTTTAACAATCTCAGAGCTTCATAGTCATTAAAACGTGACAGTGGTTAGAAGAAAACACTCAAGCAATGGATTCTCGTGAGGGTCGTTCTCCATGAACAGGAAAATATTTGTTGTGGAAGTTGTTGAGCCAGACCCAGAACACAGGCAAGAGTTCAATGCTAACGCACCTCCACGAAAGTCTCCGTCTCTGCCAAGCCTCAGGGACTTCTCAGTATGCAACAGTCACAGTCATTGTGATGCTAGCAAGGTCTCACAATCAGTCCTGGTGCCCTGAGTCTAGCGCATGCACATTTGTGAAACAGGCTCCGGTGCCCATTTGTCAGAGCTATCAGTCTGCCTAAGCAGAGAAAAATAGTACAGGCAGAGCGAGCTTGGTATCAGAAAAAGTCGTGACTGCAAAAACCCACTGCAGGACCCTAAAAGTCTTGATATCAGGGCCCCTTCGGGATGTCTCCATGGTCAGTTTTTGTTAGAGAAGAAGGCATTTTGAGACTGTGAAGTGGTCACTGGAAACAGCTTTTCTGACTGCATTCCCAAAAGAGAATATGTGTACAAGAATCAGGTCACATGGGGATTGCAATATAGTCTGGTGTGTGGTTGAGGATTATTTGAGTGATAGAATCTTACCTGAGACCAACCCCAGAGGTGTGTATCAGCAAAAGATGGCCGAGTTCTTGACCTCACTGCCTCCCTTCATCTTGGGACTAACAGGGGATCTCTGGGAAAGGCAGTTACCATGACAAGGCAAGTACAAGGAGGAGCAGTGTCCTCACGCATTGGACTGGCCTCCAATGGGTGCAGATGAGGCTAAGACAATGTCTCCGAGGCCATCTGTGGTTATGGCAAGCCTGAAAAAGGTGAATATTAGTGCTGTCAATATTCACTGTGAAATACCCATGAAAGCAAAGAAAAATCAAGACATTTCTTAACAGAATGAGCTGCCTTGTGCTGGAGTCCAGGCAATGTTCAGTGATTCCTGTCAGATAACTGAAAACTCTCCTGCAAAGTGCAATCTTAGCCCCTCAATAAGGCAACCACCCACAACCTGGATGGCAGGAGCCTGCCCAAAGTCCCTTTTGCCCTCTGAAATCCGTGGCAGCTAAATAATCTGTGGCAAGAGGAAGTCACATCGAGAAACAGCCCAGTGAATGAGCTCCTCCACAATGAAAAGGCTGTGCAGATGAAATGAAACAGAAGCTAGATTACCAGGCAAAGGCCAGACATGGATTCTCATCCTATAGGTATTATGCAGCCATTCGATAGAAGTGGGAGAAAAAGAGTTTCTTTGTTGGCAGTGGTAATGGGAATTTTCAGTTTTAAAATATCAAGCTTCCCAGTTATTAAAACATGACACTGTTTAGAAGGAAACACTCAGGCAATGGAGTCCCATGAAGATCATTCTCTGTGAACTGGGAAAGCTTAAGTGTGGAAGTTGTTGAACCAGTCACAGGAAACTCTAGGTGGATGAGGAACATAGAAGTCAGAAAAAGAAGAAACTGTGGAGGCCACATCCCACCCAGAATCAATTCATTCCATTGCATTGGTCTCCGAATATGAAAGCCCTCAAATCGGGAGTTTGCCAGGATGGCCCCAATTTGCACCCCAAATGTCCGTTGCCCGTTGTAGTATTCCCACCTGAACACCATGCCATTGTGTATACTGCTTGTGCAATTAAGGGAATGAGGGGATGAAGTTGGAAACACGTGCTTTAAACACTGTCTTTATTTTTATTGCAGGTGTAGTTACAGGGCCCCAACCACCTTTCACCAGATTGTATACTCACCTGTATCTGACCTTATTGCTACTCACACTCTAGGTCCCAGGATAAAATCCCAACATGATGGAGGAGTGCCCCCTCATTATGTGAAGCACCTGCTGGGCTTGGAACCAAATTCAGTGTAAGTTCAAGTGGCCCTGTGGAGAGGACTGCTAGTGTCTCCCCCTGTATTTGCTGCAGGAAAATAAAACAGTGAAAAATGTCTGGTTTTTTTGTTGTGGTGTGCTCATCTTCTTTCTAGAAATGTAGATTTTTCTGCAGGGGGAGGTGATTTGGATGCCAGCGGGATTTGGCCCACCTCCCAATTCATGTGAGATTCATAATTCACAGAAAAACAAAGCACACAAAGCTTTGCAGGCTAAGCAGAGACACAGACAGGCCACCAAAATGATGGGAGGCTCAAAAAAAAAAACACTGAAGTTTTTTAGCCACATTGCTTTAAGCAGACTACATTTACAGGCTCTCACACACACACTTACAAACACACACAGAAATACACAATGCCACACACACACAGAGACATCCAACATTTGCAACACTGCCACAGAAACACACAGGCCAGCAGCTCCTGAGGCTGCGTGGTTCTGCAGGTATCTCCACCTGGGCCAGAGCAACCTTGAGGAACACAGGCAGGCTGTACCTAGAAATCACAATGGGGCAAGTCTCAAAAAGACTCACCTCTACAATATCTAGGCATATCTGAGAAATGTTGCAGATGTTTTTGGATCATTAGAGATATTGTGGTTTAGTCCTGGGACCCTTCTTGACGTTACTACAGGCTGGCTTATGTATGCCCTCTCCTACTCTCATGGGACAATCCTGTGGATAACACAGAGAAGACAGGTGAGAGTTCATGACTGATGCACCTCCACAGAAGTCTCCTTCTTTGCCAAGATGCAGGAATTTTCACTAGGCAATGGTGAAATTCATTGTGGTGCTAGTTAGAGCTCACAATCAGGCTTGGTGTCCCAAGAGTAGTGCATGCTCTACAGCATGTGCTCTACAGCATGACAGCTCTAACAGCAAGCCCTGCTGTTAGAGCTGTCAGCCTGCCTAAGCAGAGGAAAATGATACATGCAGAGCCGAAAGGTATCCAGGAAAATGCTGCCTGTGATAACCCACTCTGGGACCCTAAAAGTCTCATCCTTAGGGCACCTAGGGCCATCTTTAATGGTCCCACAGGAGGAGGATGCATTTCTGGACTGAGTTGGTCATGAAAAACTGCTCTTCTGACTCCATTCCCAAAATGGGCTGTGTGCAAGAATTGGGTCCCATGGGGATTGGAATGTAGTCTGGTGGGTTGTTTAGGGGTCTTTGAATGATAGAATCATACCTGAGACCCCAGAGATGAGTGTCAATGAAAGACGACCAGGCCCTTAACCGCAGTGCCTCACTTCATCCTGGACCTCACAGGATCTCTCTCGGGTAAGCAGGAACCACACCTAGAACTGGCCTCTCACAGGTACAGATGAGGTTGAGACAGTGTCTCAGAGGCTGTCTGTGGCGATTGCAAACCTGAAAAGGGTGTCCGGTAGTGAGTGTCACTGTTGACCCCCCATGAAAGCAAGGAAAATCAAAGATCACATGAGAGAACCAGCTGCCTTTTGCTGGAGTTCAAGCAAAGTTCAAAGATTCCTGTCAGAGAACCCTAAAGCCTCCTGCAAAGTGCAAACATCCTCATCCCACATAATGAGAACAAGACCCAGAACCTGGGATGTGGCTAGCCTACCTGAAGTCCCTTGTGCTCCATGATATCCCTGTCAGCCAATAAATTTGTGATGAGAGGCAGCCCTATCCACCAACAGCACATTAAAGACCCCCTACACAATGAGAAAGGATGTGCACATAAAATGAAACACAGACCATATTACCAGGTGGAATCCAGACACAGCTGCCTGCTTCTCATCCTACAGGAATCATGCAGCCCTTCAATAAAACTTGGAGAACAGGAGTTTCCTTGTTGGCAGCAGTAACAGGAAGTTACTGTTTTAGAATTACCGCATCGCAGCTGCCCTGTCATTGAAACATGACAGGGCAGTAAGTGTTTAGAAGGAAACACTTACTCAATGGATTCCCCCCAAGGGTCACCTTCCATGAACTGGGAAACATTTAGTGTAGAAGACATTGAGCCATACCCAATCATCCTTAGGATTATGAGGCACATGTAAGTCAGGATAGGAGTTGGCCAGGGTGGCCCCAGTTTGCACTTCAAATATTCCCTGCACGTTGGAGTACTCCCAACTAAACACCAGGCCAAGTTGTGGACTGCTTCTGCAATTAAGGAAATGTGGGAATGCTGTTTGAAGCACCTTTTGTGTCACCTGTCTTTACATTTTTGCAGGTGAAGGTGCAGGTCCCCATCCACCCCTCATCAGGTTGTATCCTCACCCCTATCTGACCTTATTGCCATTCACACTCTATGACCCAGGATGAAATCCCAAGATGATGGAGGAGTGAACCCTGACGACAGGAAGTACCTGCTCACCTATGAACAAAATTTGAGGTAAATTCATGGGGCCCTGTGGACAGGACTGCTAGTGTTTCTCCCTGGGATAGCCACAGGACACTGACACACTGAAGGATTTCTGTTCTTGGGTATGGTGTGCTGCAGCTCTTCTTTCTAGAGAGTGGCTTTTTTTGTTTGTTTGTTTGGAAGTCATTTGTTATGTGGACCTCAGCGTGTCACAGCCAGCCTCGCAATTCACTGTGGATTCAGAAAAATAAAGAACAGGGAGGTCTACAGCCCCAGAAGAGCCATACAGACAGGGCATGAAAATGTTGGAAGTCTCAAATAAAAGAAGCTCTGCAGTGTGTGACCCACCTCCCTTTAAACAAACTCCGCTTACTGGCCCGCGTGCACACACACACACACTAAAACACACAAAGCCAAAAAGCCACACCACACCTAGACATCCAACACTTGCAACATGCCCTCAGAAACAGAGCCTGGCAGCATCTGAGGCTGTGTGTTTGTGCAGAAGGCCCCACCTGGGAGAGAGCAACCCCGGCAAACACAGAGCGCTCTACCTAGAAATCACAGTTGGGAAAGTTTCAGAAAGACTCAACCCTACAACTCCCAGGCAGGCCTGAGACATCCTGCAGATACTTTTGTAGCCTTAGGGACTTTGCAGTTTATTCCTTGGGCTCTGCTTGACATTTCTGCATGCTGGCTCATGTCTGCCCTCTCCTAGGAATATGGATGTATCCTGTGGATCCCTCAGAGAAGACAGGCAAGAGTCCACCACCAAGGCACCTCTATGGAGGTCTCCTTCTTGGCCACGCAGCCAGGACTGATCTCTATGTAATGGTGACATTCATTGTGATGCTAGCCAGAGCTCATAGTCAGGCCTGGTGCCCTGAGGCGTGCATGTGCATTTGAGGGCATGCTTGCTGGCCTGGCTTTCACAGATGTTAGCCTGTGGAAGCAGAAGAAAATGGTACACATAGAGCTGGCTCGGTATCCAGAAATAGGCTGCCTGCAATAATGCACTGCGGGACCCTACAATGCTCGAAGTTAGGGCGACTTCAAGCCGTCTCCCTGGTCAGCTCCTGCAGGAGTAGGAGGCATTCAGAGACTGAGGTGGTCGCTGAAATCTGTTCTTCTGATTCCCTTTTGGAAAGAGGCTGTGTGCAAGAATCCAGTCCCATGGGGATTGGAATGTAGTCTGGTGAGTTGAGGAGGGGTCTTTGGGTGATGGAATTATACCTGAGAAACTAGAATTGGGTGCCTATGAATGATGGTTGGGCCCTTAACCTCACTGTCTCCCATCATTCTGGACCTCGCAGGGTCTCTCTATGAAGCACAGGAACCACAACAAAGGCAGGTCCAATAGGGAGCAGTGTTCTCAAACCTCGAACTGGCCTCTCACCAGTGCAGATGAGGTTGAGATAGTGTCTCTGAGGCCATCTGTGGCCATGGCAAGACAGAAAAGGATGTCCAGTAGTGCTGTTGAGGGGCACTGTGGACTTCCCAGGAAAGCAAAGAAAAATCAAGGCTCGTGTGTGAGAAAAAGATGGCTTGTGCTAGAGTCTAAGCAACATTCAAAAATTCCTGTCAGAGAACTCAAAAAACTCCTGCAAAGTGCAAGCAACACATAACAAGACACTGATCCACAACCTGGAGTGCCACCAAACCTACCCAGAGTCTGTTTTGCTCCCTGAAATCCTTGGCAGCCCATAGATCTATTGTAAGAGGCAGCCCCATCCAGCAACAGCCCAATGAAAGACCACCTCCACAATGAGAAAGGATGTGCAGATGCAATGAAACAGAGCATAGATTACCAGGCAAAAGCCAAACACAGCTGCCTGCTTCTCATCCTACAGGACTCATGCAGCACTCCGATAAAAGTTGAAGAGCAAGAGTTTCCTTGTTGTTGGCTGTAACAGGAATTTATGGTTTCAAAATTATCACAGGGGCCAAGTCACTAAAACGTGACAGTGTTTAGAAGGAAACACTGGGAAAACTTTATCGTGGAATACATGAACCAGATCCAGGAAACCCTAGGCTGACAAGAAATACGGAAGACAGGAAAAGAAGAGGCAAGTGTGGAGGCCACATCCCACCTTGTGTCTATCATTCTCACTTTCAATGGGAGCCGAGTATGAAAGCCCTCAAATTTGCAGTTTGCCAGGATGGCCCCAGTTTGCACTTCAAATGTTCTCTGCATGTTGGAGTACTCCCACCTGAACACCAGGCCATAGTGTGAACTACTTGTGTAATTAAAGAAATGTGAGGATGCAGTTGGAATCACTTTCTGTGTCATCTGTCTTCACATTTTTTGCAATTGGAAGTGTGGGACCCCATCCACTTCTCACCAGATTGCATCCTTACCCCTTCTGACCTTATTGCTATTCATGTTCTCTTTCCCTAAATGAAATCCCAAGATGATCTAGGAGTTCCTTCTCAGGACGTGGAGCATCTGCTCAGCTAGGAAGCAAATTCAAGGTAAATTCAAGGGGCTGTGAGGACAGGAATGCTAGTGTTTCCTCCGGGGATGGCCATAGAACAAGGTAATACAGAGGGATGTCCTTTCTTGGATGTGGTGTGCTCCTCTTCTTTCTAGAAGAGTAGCTTTATTTGCAGGCAGAGGTGATGTGGACTTCGGTGTGTCACAGCCAGCCTCCCACTACACTTTGGATTCATGATCCAGAGCAAAATAAAAAACGTGGAGCCCTGCAGCCCAAGCAGAGCCACACAGACAGGTGAACTAAAGGTTGGGAGACAAAAAAAAAAAAGTTGCTGCAGTGCGTTAGCCACATTCCTTTAAGCAGACACAGTGCCAAAAAAGCCACACCCATAGGCAGACATCAAAGACTCAATACTTTCACAGAAACACACAGCTCGGCAGATTCTGAGGCTGCATGGTTCTGCAGAAAGCCTTACCTGGGAGATAACAACTCTGGGCAACACAGGCGGGTTGCACCTAAAAATCACAGTGGGTAAAGTTTCATAAAGACTCACCTCTGCACACCTAGGCAGGCCTGAGGCACCCTTCAGATCCTTTTGGAACCTTACGGATTTCGCGGTTTATTCCTGGGGTTTGCTTGACGTATCTTCCAGCTGGCTCTTGTCTGCTCTCCCCTAGGATCGTGGGACTATCCTGTGGATCCCACAGAGAAGAGAGAGGACAGTCCACCACTGATGCACCTCCACAGAGGTCTCCTTCTCCGCCAAACCTCACGGAATTGTGACATTCATGGTGAGGCTAGCCAGAGCTCACAGCTTAGGCCCGGTGCCCTGAGACTAACGCATGTGCATTTGTGGGTGGCTCAGCACCTGTGTGTCAGAGGAAAATGGTACAGGCAGGGCCGGCCTGGTACTGGGGAAAAAGCTGCTCCATGTGATAACCCACTGTGGAACCCTAAAAGTCTCAAACTTAGGGCCCCTTTCCGCCGTACCTGTGATCCGGTTCCACTAGAGGAGGAGGTGTTTAGACTGAGGGGGTTGTTGAGAACTTCCTGAAAGAGGCTGTGTGCAAGATCAGGTCTCATGGGGATTGGAAGGTTGTCTGGTGAGTTGTGGAAGGTTCTTTCAGTGATAGCATCATACGTGTGACCCTACAGGTGGGTGCCAGTGAAATATGACCAGGTTCTTAACCTCACTGCCCCCACCCATCCTGAGCCTCGCAGGGGCTCTTGTTGAAAGGCAGGAACCATGACAAAGGCAAGTCCAAGGTGGAACAGTATTCTCACAGCTCTAAGTGGCCTCTCACGGTTGCAGATGAGGTTGAGACAGTGTCTCAGAGGACATCTGTGATGATTGCAATCCTGAAAAGTTTGTCAGGTAGTGCTGTTAAAGGGCACTGTGGACCCCCCATATAAGCAAAGGAAAATCAAGGCTCACAGGAGAGAACGAGCTGTCGTGTGCTGTAGTCAAAGCAACATTTAGAGATTTCTGTCAGAAGACCCAAAAGCCTCTTGCAAATTGCAAATAATCTCAGCCCCCACAAGGAAACCATGACCCCAAACCTAAAGCACAGCCAGTCTACCCAAAGTCCCTTTTGCTCTCTGAAATCCCTGGCAGCCAATAAGTCTGTGGCAAGAGGTAGCACCATCCAGTAACAGCCCAATGAAAGAGCCCTCCACAATGAAAAAAGACCAGCAGATGAAATGAAACAGAGCCTAGCTTCCCAGGCAAAAGCCAGGTACAGCTGCCTGCTTCTCCTCCTACAGGTATCAAGCAGCTGTCTGATAAAAGCTGGATAAGAAGAGTTTCCTTCTTGGCTACTGTTACAGAAATTTATGGTTTTAAAACAATCAAAGTTGCCCAGTCATTAAAACCCAATAGTATTTAGAAGAAAACACTCATGAAATGGATTCCCTTGAGGGTCGTCTTCCATTAAGTGGTAAACATTTAATGTGGAATATGTACAGCCAGACCCAAGAAACCTTAGGCTGATGAGGTACATGGATGTCAGGAAAATAAGAGGTAAGTATGGTGTCCACATCAAACCTTACATCAAATGGCCTCACTCCCATTTGGCTCCTGGTATAAAGGCCCTCAAATAGGGAGTTTGCCAGGATGGCTCCAGTTTGCACTCCAAACATTCCCTGCATATTGGGGTGCTCCCAAATGTACACCAGGCCATGGTGTGGATGGCTTGTATATTTAAGGAAATGTGGGGATGCAGTTGGAAGCACCTTCTGTAACATCTGTCATCACATTTTTTTGCAGGCGAATGTGCGGGACCCCATCCATCCCTCACCAGCTTGTATCCTCAGCTTTATCTGAAGTTAAAAGTATCTTTCCCATAATGAAATCCAAAGATGATGGAAGAGTGCCCCCTCACGGTGTGGAGGTCCTGCTTGGCTAGCAACTGAATATGAAGTAAATTCAAGGGACCCTGCGGACCGGACTGCTAGTGTTTCTAAATGGGGTGTACACTGGACAATAAAACACTGAAAGATTTCTGTTCCTGAATTTCCTGTGCTCCTCTTCTTTCTAGAAGTGTGGCTTTGTTTGTTTGTTTGTTTTGTTTTTGTGGGGGGAGGTTATTTGGACCATGGCGGGTCTCATGCCATCTCTCAATTTATGGCAGATTCATGATCTGCAGAAAAATAAAGAACACAGAACCCAGCAGCCCAAGCAGAGCCACACAGATAGGCCACAAAAAGTTTGGGAGACTCAAAAACAAAGAAGAGCTACAGTGTGTTAACCACATTTTTTAAAGCAGATTCCACTTACAGACACACACACACACACAAACACAGACAACCAACACTGGCAACACTCCCACAGAAACACACTCCCAGCAGCTTCTGAAGCTGTGTGGTTCTGCAGGAAGTCCCACTTGGGAGAGAGCAATCCTGGGGAACACAGGCATGCTGTATGTAGAAACCACAGTGGGACAAGTTTCAAAAGACCCCCTGCAACGTCTAGGCAGGCCTGAGGCATCTGCAGACCCTTTAGCATAGTTAAGGAATTCACAGATTATTCCTGGGGCCCTGCTTGATGCTTCTTCATGCTGGCTCACATCTGCCCTCTCCTAGGATCATGGGACTATCCCAAGGATTCAACAAAGAAGAGAGGCGAGAGTCTACCGTGAAGCATCTTCATGGAGGTCTCCTTCTCTGCCAAGACACAGGGACTTTTCACTAGGAAAAGTGTTATTCATTGTGAGGCTAACTGGAGCTCACAGCTCAGGGGTGGTGCCCTGAGACTAGCACATGCACATTCACGAGGCAGGCTTAGGTGCTAGGCTGTCAGAGCTAAGCAAAGGAAAATGGTACAGGCAGATCCAGCCTCATATCGGGAGAAAGGCTGCCTGCGATAACCAACTGTGGGAACCTAAATATGTCAACCTTAGCACCCCTTCCATCCATCTCCTTGGTCGGGTCCCACTGGAGGAAGAGGTGTTTTCAGACTGTTAGGTTGTCATGGAAAACTGCTCTTCTGACTTCATTCCCGAAAGAGGCTATTTGTAAGAATCAGGTCCCATAGGGATGGGAATAGAGTCTGGTGAGTTGTTGAGGGGTCCTTTTATCATGGAATCATACGTGAGACTCCATAGGTGTTTGTCAGTGAAATATGGCCAAGCCCTTGTCCCCATTGCCTCTCTTCATTCTGGGCCCCCCAGGGGCTATCTGGGAAAGGCATGAACCACAACAAATGCAAGTCCAAGTTGGATCAGAGTTCTCAAACCTCAAAATGCCCTCTCACGGAGGCAGATGACGTTGAGACATTGTCTCAGAGGTCATCTGTGGCTATTGCAAGCCTGAAAATTGTGTCCTATAGTACTGTTGGGTGGCAATGGGGACACCCCATGAAAGCACAAAAAACTCACGGCTTGCCTGAGAGAAAGAGCTGACTTTTGTTGGAGTCCTAGCAACATTCAAAGACTCCTGTCGGCATACCCAAAAGCCTCCTGAGAAGTGCAAACAATGTCAGCCTCCACAACGAGACCATGATCCACAACTTGAAATGCAGCCAGCCTACCTGAAGGCCCTTTTGCTCCCTAAAATCGCTGGCAGCCAAAAGATCTGTGGTGAGTGGCAGTTACAACCAGCAACAGCTGAAAGACCCTCTCCACAATGAGAAAGGATCTGCAGTCGAAATGAAACAGACTATAGATCACCAGGCAAAAGTCAGACATGGCTGCATGCTTCTCATCCTACAGGAATCATGCAGCCATCTGATAGAAGAGGGAGAACAAGAATTTCCTTGTTGGTGTCAGTACTGGGAATTTATGGTTTTAAATACATTACAGATGTCCAGTCATTGAATTCTGACAGTGTAATCTGTCTTCACCATTTTTACAGGTGAATGTGCAGGAACCTATCTACCCCTCACAAGATCGTATCTTCACACCTGTCTGACCTTATTGCTGCTTGTACTCTCTGTCCAAGAACAAAATCCCAAGATAATGGAGGATTGTGACAAAAAGCACCTGTTCAGCTGGGAATCAAATTCCTGGTAGATTCAAGGGGCCCTGCGGACAGGACTGAAAGTGCCTGTCCCTGGGTTTGCTGCAGAACATGAAACACTGGGAGATGTCTGTTCTAGGGTGTGGTTTGCTATTCCTCTTTCTAGAAGAGTTTTTTGTTTTGTTTTGCTTTGTTTTTTGCAGTGGTACATAATTTAATTTTGGCATGTCTAGCCAATCTCCCAATTCACTGTGGATTCATGATCCACAAAAAAAGAAAGAAAGAAAGAAAGGACATGTAATGCCACAGACCAAGAAGGGCCACACAAACAGGCCACCAAAAGTTTGACAGACTCAAAAATAAGTAGTGCTGAAGTGTAATAGCCACATTCATTTAAGCAGATTCCACTTACAGGCACACACACACACACCCACACACACAAACACAGCCACACCAACATTCGCAACACTCCCACAGAAACACACAGCCAAGCAGCTTCTGAGGCTGCATGGTTCTGCAGGAAGCTCCACCTGAAAGAGACCATCCCTAGGGAACACAGGTGGGCTGAATCTAGAAATCACAGTGGGACAAGTTTCAAAAAGACTAACCAATACAGAGAAATGCAAATCAAAACCACAATGAGATACCATCTCACACCCGTTAGAATGGCAATCATTAAAAAGTCAGGAAACAACAGTTGCTGGAGAGGATGTGGAGAAATAGGAACACTTTTACACTGTTGGTGGGACTGTAAACTAGGTCAACCATTGTGGAAGTCAGTGTGGCGATTCCTCAGGGATCTAGAACTAGAAATACCATTTGACCCAGCCATCCCATTACTGGGTATATACCCAGAGGATTATAAATCATGCTGCTATCAAGACACATGCACCTGTATGTTTAGTGCGGCATTATTCAGAATAGCAAAGACTTGGAACCAACCTAAATGTCCAACAATGATAGACTGGATTAAGAAAATGTGGCACATATACACCATGGAATACTATGCAGCCATAAAAAATGATGAGTTCATGTCCTTTGTAGGGACATGGATGAAATTGGAAATCATCATTCTCAGTAAACTATCGCAAGAACAAAAAACCAAACACCGCATATTCTCACTCATAGGTGGGAATTGAACAATGAGATCACATGGACACAGGAAGGGGAATATCACACTCTGGGGACTGTTGTGGGGTGGGGGGAGGGGTGAGGGATAGCATCGGGAGATATACCTAATGCTAGATGACGAGTTAGTGGGTGCAGCACACCAGCATGGCACATGTATACATATGTAACTAACCTGCATAATGTGCACATGTACCCTAAAACTTAAAGTATAAAAAAAAGTTCATATAATAATAGTTATGTAATGGACTCATGAGAATATAATAAAATTAACTGATAAATGTGCTTTATAATATCAAATATTAATTACATATATAATATAAAAACTGAGAAAAAAAAAGACTAACCAATACAATGTCTAAGAAGGCTTGAGGTCTTTTGCAGATCTTTTTGGATCCTTAGGGATTTCACAGTTTATTCCTGGGGCTTTGCTTGATGTTTCTTCAGGCTGGTTTGCAGCCGGCATCAATCTATTCCACTTTCATTTGGCTATAGCAATGAAAGTCCTTAAATCAGGAGTTTTCCAGGATGGCCTCAATTTGCACTCCAAATCTTCCTTGCACATTGGAGTACTCCCCCTTGAACAGTGGGGCATTGGTGTGAACTGGTTGTGCAATTAAGGGAATGTGGGGATGGAGTTAGAAGCACCTTCTGTATCATCTTTCATTTTTTTTTGCTGGACCGCATCTGCCCCTCACCAGATTGTATCCTCACTCCTATCTGACTTTATTGATTGTCACACTCTATGTCCTACAATGAAATCCCAAGATGATGGAGGGTGCCTTCTCACGACGTGAAGCACCTAGCTGGCTGGGAACCGAATATGAGGTAAATTCAAAAGGCCTGTGGACAAGACTGCTAGTGTGCTCCCTGGGTTTCCTGCAGGACAATGAATCTCTGGGAGAGGTTTGTCTTTTTGGTGTGGTGTGCTCCTCTTACTTCTAGAAGGGTGCCTTTTTTTGCATGGGGAGGTGATTTGGAGGCCAGCCTGTCTCTCAATTCATTTTCAATTAATGAACCACAGAAAAATAAAGAACACTGAGCCCTGCAGCCCAAGCAGAACCACACAGACAGGCCAACAAAAGGTTAGGAGACTCAAAAAAAAAAAAAAAAAAGGAAGGACTGAAGTTCATTAGCCACATTCCTTTAAGCACACTCCACTTACAGGCACACACAGACATACACATACTCACACAAACCCACAATAACACACACACACACACACACACACACACGCAAACATCCAACACTCGCAACTTTGTCACAGAAACACATATCCCGGCAGTTCCTGAGGCTGCATGGTTCTGCAGGAAGCCCCACCTTGGAGAGAGCAACCCTGGGGAACACAGGTGGGATGCACCAAGAAGTCAGAGAGGGCCAAGTTTCAAAAAGAGTCACCCCTACAACATCTAGGCAGGCCTGAGGAAACCTGCAGATCCCTTTGGATCATTACAGATTTCACAGTTTATTCCTGGGCCGGTGCTTGATGTTTCTTCAGGCTGGCTCATGTCTACACCCTCCTAGGATCATGGGACTATCTCAGGGATCCCACAGAGAAGACAGGTGAGAGTCCACGGCCGACGCTCCCCCATGGAGGTTTCCTTCTCTGCCAAGCTGCAGGGACTTGATGCTAGGCAATGGTGAAGTTCACTGTGACACTAGCCATAGCTCACAATTAGGCCTGGTGCCCTGAGACTAGCACATGCGCTTTTGTGAGGCAGGCTTGGGCATCTGTGAGTCATAGCTGTCAGCCTGCCTAAGCAGAGGAAAATGGTACAGCCAGAGCTAGCCTGGTATCAGGAAAAAGGTAGCCTGTGAAAATCCACCGCAGGATCATAAAAGGCTCAACTTTAGGGCCCTTTCAGTGCATCTCCACTGTCAAGTTCTGCTGGAGAAGGAGATGTTTCCAGACTGTGAGGTGGTCACTGGAAACTGCTCTTCTGATTCTATTCTTGAAAGAGACAGTGTGCAAGAATTGGGTCCCATTGGGATTGGAATATTGTCTAGTTTGTTTTTGAGGATACCTTGTGTGACGGAATCATATCTGAGACCCCCGAGGTGGGTGTCAGCAAAAGATGTCCAGGATCTTGACCTCACTTCCTCCCTTTATTCTATGCCTTACAAGGGCTCTTTGGGAAAGGCAGGAACCAGAAAAGAGGCAAGTCCAAGGTGGAGCAGTGTTCTCACACCTCAGACAGGCCACTCAAGGGTGCAGATGAGGTTGAGACAGGGTCTCAGTGGCAGTCTGTGGTGATGGCAAGCCGAAAAAAGGTGTCCAGCGGTGCTGTTGAGGCACATTGTGGATTCCCTATGAAAACAAACAAACAAAAAATCAAGGCTCACCTGAGAGAACTGGCTGCCTTGTGCTGGAGTCCAAGCAATGTTCAATTCTTCCTGTCAGAGGACCCAACACCCTCAGGCAAAGTGCAAACCACCTCATCCCACACAACCAGAAAACAACCCACAACCTAAAGCACAGCCAGCCTACATGAAGTCCCTTTTGCTCTCTTAAATAGCTGGCAACTAAATAATCTGTGGTGAGAGGCAGTCCCATCCAACAAAAGCCCAGTGAAAGAGACCATCCACACTGAGGAGGCCATGCAGATAAAATAAAACAGAGGCAAGGCTGCCAGGCAAAAGCTAGACATGGCTGCCTGCTTCTCATCCTGCAGGAATCAAGCAGCCCCCTAACAGAAGTGGGAGAACAAGAGTTTCCTTGTTAGTGGCTGTAACGGGAATTCATGGTTTTAAATATGTCAAAGCTGCCAAGTCATTAAAATGTGACAGTGTTTAGAAGGAAATGCTAATGCAATGGATTCCATAAGCGCCTCTCTCCATGAACTGGGAAATGTTTAATGTGGAAGTCCTTGAGCCAGACACAGGAAACACTAGGCCGATGAGGTGGAGGCCCACATTCTATCCAGCATCAATCCATTCCACTCACATTTGGCTCTGAATATGAAAGCCCTCAAATCAGCAGTTTGTCAGGATATCCCGAATTTGCAGTCCAGATGTTTTGTGCACATTGGAGTCCTCCCACTTCAACACTGCGCCTTGGTGGGGACTGCTTGTGCAATTAAGGGAATGAGGGGATGAAGTTTGAAACACCTTCTGTGTCATCTGTCTTCATTTTTATTGCAGGTGAAGTTGCAGGACCCATTCACTTCTCACCAGATTGGATCCTCCACCCTACCTGACCTTATTGCTGCTCACACTCTATGTTCCAGGATGAAGTCCCAAGACGATGGAGGAGTGCCCCCTCACAGCATGAAGCACCTCCTAGGCTGTCAACCGAATTCAAGGTAAATACAAGGGGCTCTGCGGACAGGACTGCTAGTGTCTCTACCTGGGTTGGCTACAGGACAATGAAACACTGGAAGATGTTTGTTTTTCAGTGTAGTGTGCTCCTCTTCTTTCTAGAAGAGTGGCTTTTTTTTTTTTGCAGGGGGAGGTGATTTGGATGGCGGTGGGATTTGGCAAGCTTCTAATTCACTGCGGATTCATGATCCGCAGATCAATAAAGAAAACACAGCCCAAGCAGACCCAACAAACAGTCCACCAAAAGGTGTTGAGACTCAAGAAAAGTAGCGCTGAAGTGGATTAGCCACATTTCTTTAAGCAGACTCCACTTACAGGCACAAACACACACACACACACAGACAACACAAACACGCTGTGCCACACACACACGCAGACATCCAACATTTGCAACACTCCCACAGAAACACACAGTGAGGCAGCTCTAGAGGCTGTGTCATTCTGTAGGAAGCCCCACCTAAGAGAGAGCAACCCCAGGGAACACAGGTGGGCTGCACCTAGAAATCACAGCGGGGAAAGTTTCAAAAACACTCACCCCTACAATGTGTAGGCAGGCCTGAATAATCCTTCTGATATTTTTGGACGCTTAGGGATTTTGTGGTTTATTCCTGGGGCTGTGCTTGACATTTCTTCAGGCTGGCTCCCACTTGCCCTCTCCCAGGATTATGGAACTATCCCATGGATCCACAGAAAAGACAGGCAAGAGTCCCCTGTGGATGCACTTCCACAGAGGCCTCCTGCATTGCCAAGATGCAGGAACTTTTTGCTAGACAATGGTGACATTAATTGTGATGCTAGCCAGAGCTCACAATCAGGAATGGTGCCCTGAAACCAGCTTATATGCATTCATGAATCAGGCTCGGGCACCCAGCTGTCAGAGCTGTCAGCCTTCCTAAGCCAAGTAAAATACTACAGGCAGAGTTGTCCTGGTATCATGAAAAGGGAGGCCTGCAAAACCCACTATGAGAACCTAAAAGTCTTGACCTCAGCTCCCCTTCAGGCCATCTCTGTGGTCAGGTCCCACCAAAGGAGGAAGAATATCAATACTGTGAGGTGGTCTGTGGAAACTACTTTTCTGTCTCCCTTTTTGAAAGAGGCTGTGTGAAAGAATTATGTCCCGTGGACATTGGAATAAAGTCTAGTATGTTTTTGATGGTTCTTTGGATGATAGAATCATACCTGAAACCCCAGGGCCTGGTGTCAGTGAAAGATGGCCAGGACCTTGACCTCACTGCCTCCCTTCATCCTGAGCCTTGCAGAGCCTCTGTGGGAAAGCAGGAGCCACAGCAAAGGAAAGTCCAAGGTGGAGCCCTACTCTCAGGCCTTGGACTGGCCACTCACAGGTGAAGACAAGGTTGAGACCAGTGTCTCAGAGGCCATCTGTGATGATGGCATGCCTAAAAAGGGTGTCCAGTAGTGCTGCTAAGGGGCACTGTGGATTCCCCATGAAAGCAAAGAAAAATTAAGGCTCACCTGAGAGAATGAGCTGCCTTGCGCTGGAGTCCAAGCAATGTTCAGTGATTCCTGTCAGAGGACCCAAAAACCTCCTGCAAACTGCAAGCAAACTTAGCCCCCAAAATAAGACCATGAACCACAAACTTGAGTGCAACCAGTCTCTGCAAAGTCACTTTTGCTCTCTGAAATCCCTGTTAGCAAAATAATCTGTGGCAAGAGGCAGTCCCATCCAGCAAGAGCTCAATGAAAGAACCCCTCCGCAGTGAGAAGGCTATGCAGATGAAATGAAACAGAGGCTAGATTGCCAGGCAAAAACCCATACATGGCTGCCTGCTTCTCATCCTACAATAATCATGCAGCCCTCCAATAGAAGTGGGAGAACAAGTGTTTTCTTATTGGTGGCTGTAACAAGAATTTACTGTCTTAAAAGTATTAAAGCTTCCCAGTCATTAAAATATGACAATGTTTAGAAGGAAACAATCACACAGTGGATTCCCATGATGGTCGTTCTCCATGAACTGGGTAACGTTTAGTGTGGAAGTCATTGAGCCATACCCAGGAAACCCTAGCCTGATGAGGAACATGAAAATCAGGAAACTAAGAGGGAAGTCTGGAGGCCATATCATACCCAGCATCAATCCAGTCCACTCCCATTTGGCTCCGGGTATGAAAGCTTTCAAATCTGGAGTTTGCCAGGGTTGCCCCAATTTGCACCCCAAATGTTCCTTGCACTGTGAAGTACTCCCATCTGAACATACAGTGATGGAGTTTGAAGCACCTTCTGTTTCATTTGTCTTCATTTTTCTGCAGGTGAGGTTGTGGGACCCTATCCACCGCTCACCAGATTGTATCCTCACACCTATCTGACCTCATTGCGGCTCACACTCTATGTCCCAGGATGAAATCCCAAGAAAATAGAGGAGTAACCCCTCATGATGTGAAGCACCTGCTCAGCTGGGAATTGAATTTGAGGTAAATTCATGGAGACCTGAGGACAAGACTGCTAGTGTGTCTCCCTGATTTGGCCACAGGAAAATGAAACACCGGGAGATATCTGCTTTTTGGTGAAAGAATCTGATTTCCTGGGTATTGGAATGTAGTCTGGTGTGTTGATTAGTGTTCTTTGGGTGACAGAATCACACCTGAGACCCCAGAGATGGGTTCCAGTTGAAGATGGCTGGACTCTAGATCTCACTGCCTACCTTTATTTTGGGCCTCGCAAGGGCTCTCTGGGACAGACCGGAACCACAACAAAGTCAAGTGTATGATTGAGGAGTGTTCTTGCACCTCAGACTTTCCACTATTGGGTGCAGATGAGGTTGAGTCAGTATCTCAGAAACGATGTGTGGTGATGGCAAGCCTGAAAAGGGTGTCCAGTAGCACTGTTGAAGGGCACTGTGGATTCACCCAATAAACCAAAAAAAAAAAAAAAAATTGGCTCACATGAGAGAATGTGCTGCCTCATGCTGAAATTTAAGCAATGTTCAATAATTCCTGCCAGAGGACCCAAAAGCCTCCTGCAAAGTGCAAGCAACCTCAGCCCCCATGAAGAGACAATTATGCACAACCTGGAGCACAGCGATTTTTCCTAAAGTCCCTTTTGCTGTGTGAAATCCTTGGCAGCTAAATAATCTGTGTAAGGCAGTCCCATCCAGCATCATCCCAACAAAGAGTACCTCTACAATGAGAATGCCATGCAAAAGAAATGAAACTGAGGCTCTATTACCAGGCAAATCCAGACATGGCTGCCTGCTTCTCATCCTACAGAAATCATGTGGCTTTCTGATAGAAGTGGGACAAGACTTTCCTTCTTGGTGGCTGTAATGGGAATTTATGGTTCTAAAAGTATTAAAGCTGCACAGTTATTCAAACCTGAGAGTGTTTAGAAGGAAACACTCATGCAATGGATTCCCATGAGGATCATTTTCCATGAACAGAGAAACATTTAGTATGGAAGTCATTGAGCCATACCCAGGAACCCCTAGGCTGATAAGGAACATAAAATCAAAAAAGGAGAGGCAAGTGTGGAGGCCACATCTTACCCATTATCAATCCTTTCCACTCCCATTTAGCTCCGGGTATGAAAACCCTCAAAACAGGAGTTTGCCAGTGTGACCCCAGTTGGCACTCCAAATATTTCTTGCCCATTGAAAATACTCTTACCAGAGCACCAGGCAATGGTGTGGACTGCTTGTGCAATTAAGGGAATGCTGGAATATATTTGGAAGCACCTTCTCTGTCATCTGTCTTCATTTTGTATTTTTGCAGGTGAAGTTGAAGGACACCATCCACCCCTCAGCAGATTATATCCTTTCCCATCTGACCCTATTTCTACTCACACTCTGTGTCCCAAGATGAAATCACAAGATGATGGAGAACTGCCCTCTCACGATGTGAAGCATCTGCTCAGCAGAGAACCAATTTGAGGTAAATTCAAGGGGCCCTTTGGACAAGATTGCTAGTGTCTCTCCCTAGTTTGGCCACAGTACAATCAAACTCTAGGAGATGCCTGCTTTTTTGATTTCATGTGCCCCTCTTCTATCAAGAAGAGTGGCTTTTTTTGCATGGGTGGGGGTGATTCGGACACCACCGCATCCCAGCCCACCTCCCAATTCACTGAGGATTCATGATATATGGAAGAATAAAGAACACAGAGCCCCACAGCCAAAGAAGAGACATCCAGACAGGCCATCAAAAGTGGTGAGGCTCAAAAAAAAAAAAATCACTGAAGTGCATTAGCCACATTCCTTTAAGCAGGCTCCACTCCACTTACAGGCACACACACACACACATGCAGAAATCAAGCACTCACAACATTCCCTCAGAAACACACAGCCCAGCAGCTCCTGCGGTTGTGTGGTTTTGCGGGAAGCCCCACCTGGGAGAGAGCAACCCCAGGGAACAAAGGCAGGCTATACCTAGAAATCACAGTGGGGCCAGTTTGAAAAAGACTCACCCCCTACAACATCTAGGCAGGCCTAAGGAATCCTGCAGATTATTTTGGATCCTCAGGGATTTGCAGTTTATTTCTGGGGCTCTGCTTGATATTATTTCAGGCTGGCTCATATCTGCCCTCTCCTTGGATCATGGGACTATCCTGTCGATTCCACAGGGAAGACATGGGACAGTCCACCGAAGACACACATCCACGGAGGTCCCTTTATCTGCCAAGCCACAGGGACTTGTTGCTAGGCAACGGTGGCATTCACTGTGAGGCTAGCCAGAGCTCACAATCAGGCCTGGTGCTTTTAGACTAGGGTATGCACATTGTCAGGCAGGCCCAGATGCCCGGCTTTCAGAGCTGTCAATGGGCTTAAGCAGAGGAAAATGGTACAGGCAGAGCCAGCCTGGTATTGAGAAAAAGGCTGCCTATGAAAACCCACTTTGGGATCATAAAAGTCTCAACCTCAAGGCCTCTTTGGGGCATCTCCGTGGTCAGGTCCCACTGGAGGAAGAGGTGTTTCAAGACTGTGAGGTCATCGCCAGAAACTTATCTTCTGCCTCCATTTCAGAAAGAGGCTGTGTGCAAGAATTGGGTCCCACGGGTCTGGAATATTGTCTGGTGTGTTGTTGAGGGTTTGTTGGGTGACAGAATCATGCCTGAGACCCCAGACATTGGTGTCAGTGAAAGATGGCCAGGCTCTTGACCTCCCCCTCTCCCTTCATCCTGGGCCTTGCAGGGGCTCTCGGGGAAAGGCAGGAGTTACAAAGGCAAGTCCAAGGTGATGCAGTGTCCTCACACCTCTGACTGGCCTCACATGGTTGCAGATGAGGTTGAGATAGTGTCTCAGAGGCCAACTGTGGTGATAGCAAGCCTGAAAAAGGTGTCCAGTACATTGTGCTGGAGTTGAAGCATTGTTCAATGATCCTTTTCAGAGGACCCAAAAGCCCCTTCTGAAGTGCATACAACCTCAGCTCCCGCAATGAGACAATTACCCACAACCTGGGGAGCAGACTCTAGACCTCACTGAGTCCCTTCATCCTGTGCCTCACAGGGGCTCTCTGAGACAGACAGAAACCACGGCAAAGGTAAGTCCAAGGGGAAGCAGCATTCTCACACCTGGGACTGGCCTCTCACGTGTGCAGATGAGGTTGAGACAGTGTCTCAGAGGCCATCTGTGGTGATGGCAAGACTGAAGAATGTGTCCAGTAGTGCTTTTGAGGGGCACTGTGGATTCCCCATGAAAACAGAAAAACTAAGGCTTGACTCAGAAAAATAGCTGCTTTGAGCTGGAGTCCAAGCAATGTTCAATGATTCCTGTTAGAGGACCCAGAAGCCTCCTGCAAAGTGCAAAAAAACCTCAGTCCCCATAACAAGACAATGACCCACAACCTGGAGCACATCCAGCCTACCCAAAGTCCCTTTTGCTTTCTGAAATTTCTGGCAGCAAAATAATCTGTTGTGAGAGGCCATCCCTTCCAGCAACAGCCCAGTGATAGAGCTCCTCCACAATGAGAAGGTCATGCAGTTGAAATGAAACTGAGGCTAGATTCCCAGGCAAAAGCCAGACTTGGGTGTCAGCTTCTCATCCTATGGGAATCATGCAGCCCTCCAATAGAAGTGAAAGATCAAGAGGTTTCTTGTTGGCAGCTGTAATGGGAATTTACAATTTTAAAAGTATCAAACTTGCCTAGTCATTAAAATGTGACAGTTTTTAGAAGAAAACACTCAGGCAATGCATTCCCATGAGGGTCACACTTTGGGAACTGAGAAACATTTAGTGTGGAAGTTGTTGAGCCAGACCAAGGAAGCCCTAGGCCAATGTGGAATATGGAAGTCAGAAAAAGAAGAGGCAAGTGTAGATGCCACATGCCACCCAGCATCAATCAATTCCACTCCGATTTGCCTCTGGGTATGAAAAACCTCAAATCAAGAGTTTGCCAGGAGGGCCCCAATTTTCATTCCAAATGTTGCTTACATAATGAAGTACTCCCACCTGAACACTGGGCCATGGTGTGGACTGCTTGTGCAATTAAGGGAATGCTGGGATGGAGTTGGAAGCACCTGCTATGTCATCTGTCTTCATTTACTAATTAATTAATTAATTTATTTATTTTTGCAGGCAAAGTTGCTGGACCCAGTTCACCCCTCACAAGATTGTATCCTCACTCCTCTCTGACCTTATTGTGGCTCATACTCTATGTCCCAGAATGAAATCCCAAGATGATGGAAAAATATCCCTTCATGATGTGAAGCACCTGCTCAGCAATGAAATGAATTTGAGGTAAATTCAAGGGGCAACCAGAAGTTTGGAAGACTCAAAAAAAGAAGCACTGAAGTGCATTATCCACAGTCCTTTAAGCAGACTCCAGTTAAAGGCAAACACACACACACTCACACACACACACACACACACCCCTAAGCACACAATGGCACACACACATGCAGACATCCAACACTCACAACATTTTCACAGAAACAAGCAGCCTGGTAGCTCCTGAGTTTGGTTGGTTCTTCAGGAAGACCCACCTAGGAGAGAGCAACACCAGAGAATACAGTCAGGGTGTACCTAGAAATCACAGTGGGGCAAGTTTCAAAACTACTCACCCCCACAACATCTAGGCAGACCTGAGGAGACTTGCAGATCTTTTTGATCATTAAGGATTTCACGGTTTATTCCTGGAGCAGAGCCAGCCTAGTACTGGGGAAAATGCTGCCTCAGAAAACTCACTATCAGACCATAAAAGTCTTCACCTCAGGCCCCCTTTGGGCTGTCTCCGTGGTTGGGTCTCGCTGGAGGAAGAGGCATTTTGAGACTGCGAGGTGATCATTGGAAACTGCTCTTCTGGCTCCATTCCAGAAAGAAACTGTGTGCAAGAGTCAGATCCCATGGGGATTGGAATATAGCCTGGTAGGTTGTTTAGAATTTTTGGGTGATAGATTTATACCTGAAACCTGAGACCACAGAGCCAGGTGTCAGTGAAAGATAGCCAAGCTCTTGACCTCACTGCTTCCCTTTATCTTGACCTCACTGGGGCTTTCTGGGAAAGGCAGAATCCAAGACAAAGTTAAGACTAAGGTATTACAGTATTCCCACACCTCAGACTGGCCTCTCACGGGTGCAGATAAGGTTGAGACAGTGTCTTAGAGGCCCTCTGTGGTGATGGCAAGCCTGAAAAGGGTGTCCAGTAGTGCTGATGAGGGGCACTGTGGATTCCCCAAGAAAGCAAAGAACAATCAAGGCTCACCTGAGAAAATGAGTGCCTTTTGCTGGAGTATAAGCAATGTTCAATGATTCTTGTCAGAGGACTCAAATCTTGCAAAGTGCAAACAACCTCAGCCCGCACAATGATGCAATCACCCACAACCTGGAGTGCAACCAGCCTACCCAAAGTCCCTTTTGCACTTTGAAATCCCTGACAGCTAAATAATTTGTGGAGAGAGGTAGTCACATCTGGCAATAGCCCAATGAAATTGTCTCTCCACAATGAGAAAGGATATGCAGATACAATGAAACACATCCTAGATTACCAAGCAAAAGCCAGACACACCGGCCTCCTTCTCATGCTCCAGGAATACACTGTCCTCTGATAAAAGTTGGAGAGCAACAGTTTCTTTTCCCACAACTGTAATGGGAATTTATGGTTTTACATATATCAAAGCAGCCCAGTCATTAAAATGTGACAGTGTTTGTAAGGAAACATTCGTGCAACGGATTCCCATGAGTGTCATCCTCTGTGAACTAGGAAACATTTAGTGTGCAAGACATTTAGCCAGACCCAGGAAACCCTAGGCAGATGGGGAACATGGAAGTCAGGAAAAGAAGAGGCAAGTGTGGAGGCCACATCCCACCCAGCATCAATCCATCCCACTCCCATTCGGCTATCATAATGAATCTGGGGTTTGCCCAGATGGCCCCAGTTTGCACTCCAAATGTTCCTTTCATGTTGGAGTACTCCCAGATGAACATGGGGCCATGGTGTGCGCTGCTGATGCAATTAAGGGAATGCAGCGATGGAGTTTGAAGCAACTTCTGTTTCATCTGTCTTCACCTTTTTTGCAGTTGAAGGTGCTGGACCCCATACACCCCTCACCAGACAGTGTCCTAACCCCTCTCTTACCTTATTGCTGCTCACACCCTCTTTGCCAGAATGAAATTCCAAGAAAATGGAGTGTCCCCTGTTGACTTTAAGCACCTGCTCGGCTGGGGATGGAATTCAATGTAAATTCAAGGGGTCCTGCAGAGAAGACTGCTAGTGTCTCTCCTTGGGTTAGCGTGAAACACTGAGAGATGTTGGTCTTGGGTATGACGTGCTGCTCTTCTTTCTGGAAAAGTAAATTTTTTTCAGGGGGAGGTGATTTGGACTCTGGCTCATCTTGGTCAGACTCCTAATTCACTACAGATTCATGATCCACAGAAAAATAAAGAACACGGAGCCTTGCATCCCAAGCAGAACCACACACACAGGCAAACAAATGTTAGGTTACTCAAAAAAAAAAAAAAAGGAAGAAGAAGTGCTGCAATGCATTGCCCACATTATTTTAAGCAGACTCCACTAACAGGCACACACTCCCACACACACACCCACAAATACACAAAGCCACACACACAAGCAGACATCCACTACTAGCAGCACTCCCACAGAAACAGCAAGCCAGCTTCTGAGGCTGCATGGTTCTGCAGGCAGACACATCTGGGAAACAGCTACCCTAGGGAACACAGGTGGGCTATATGTAGTAATCATTTTGAGACAAGTTTTAAAAAGAGTAACCCCTGAAACATGTAACCAGGCTGGAGGCAACCTGCATATCCTTTTGGATCCTTAGGGATTTCACGGTTCATTCCTGGAACTCTCCTTGATGTTCCTTCGGGCTGGCTCACATCTACCATCTACTAGAATCATGGCACTGTCCTGTGTATCCCACAGAAAAGACAGGCAAGAGTCCACCACTGACACACCTCCACAGAGGTCTCATTCTCCACAAAGGTGCAGGGACTTGTCGCTAGGCAATGGTTCCATTTATTGTGACACTAGCCAGAGCTCACTGCTCAGGCCTGGTGCTTTAAGACTAGCTCATGCACATTCATGAGACAGGATCAGGTGCCTGCCTGTCAGAGCCATCAGCTGCCTAAGCAGAGGAAAATGGTACAGGCAGAGCCGTCCTGGTATTGAGAAAAAGGTTGCCTGCATGACCCTAAAAGTCTCAAACTTATTGCCCCATCGGGTCGTCTTGGTGGTGGAGTTCTGGTGGAAGAGGAGGTATTTAGAAGCTATGAGGTGGTCACTGGAAACTGTTGTTCTGACTCCATTCCTGAAAGAGACCATGTGCAAGAACCAGGTCCCATGGGGATTGGGACAGGGGCCAGTGAGTTGTTGAGGGTTCTTTATGTGATGGAATCACACCTGAGACCCCAGAGGCAGGTGTCTGCAAAAGATGGCTGGGCTCTTGACCTCACTGCCTCCCTTCATCCTGGGCCTTGCAGGGGCTCTCTGGGAAAGGCAAGAACCACTACAAAGGCAATTTCAAGGTGGAGCAGTGTTCTCTCACCTCGAACTGGCCTTGCCTATAGGCAGATGAAGTTGTGACAGTGTCTCAGAGGCCATCTGTGGCAATTGCAAACCTGAAAATGGTGTCCAGTAGTTCAGTTGATGGGCAATGTGGAATCCCTAGGAAAGCCAAGAAAAATCAATGCTTACCTGAGAGAACAAGCTGCAAAATGCTGGAGTCAAAGCAATGTTCAATGATTCTTGTCAGAGGACTCAAAATCCTCCTGCAAACTGCAAAAATCTTCACCCCCAACAATGCAACCATGACCCACAACCTGGAGCTCAGCCAGTCTCTCTGAAGTCTTCTTTGCTGTCTGAAATTCCTTGCAGTCAAAAGACCTGCAGTGAGAGGGAGTCCCATCCAGCAACAGCCCATTGAAAGAGACCCGTGACAATATGAAAAGACGTGCAGATGAAACGAAACAGAGCCAAGATTACCAGGCAAATATTAGACACAGTTGCCTGCTTCTCATTCCATATGAATCAAGCCACCCTCCGATAGAAGTGGGAAAACAAGAGTTTCCCTGTTGGCAGCTCTAAAGGAATTTACAGTTTTAAAAATATTAAAGCTGCCAAGTCATTAAAATGTGACAGTGTTTAGAAGAAAACAATCACACAATGGATTCCTATGAGGGTCATCCTTTGTGAACTGGGAGATGTTTAGTATGGAAGACAATGAGCCAGACCAAGGAAACCCTAATTCAATGAGGAAGATCGAAGTCAGAAAAAAAAAGAGCAACTGTGGAGGCCACATCCCACCCAGCATCAATCCATCCCACTCCCATTTGGCCCGGTGTTTGAAAGCCCTCTAAGTGCACAGCCCCAGTTTGTACTCTACATGTTCATGGCATGTTGGAGAACTCCCACTTGAACACCGGGCCCTGGTGTGCATGGCTTGTGCAATTAAGAGGATGTGGTAATGCAGTTGCAAGGAACTTCTGTGTCATCTGTCTTCACCTTTTTTGCAGGTGCACTTGCGGGACACAATCCACACCTCACCAGATTGTGTCCTCTTCTCTATCTGACCTTATAGCTGCTCACACTCTCTGTCCCAGAATGAAAGCCCAAGATGATGGAGTAGTGCTCCCTCATGACATAAAGCACCTGCTTGGCTGGTCTCATGTATTGATTAATCATACCTATAATTGTTAACATTCATTGTGAAACATAATGTTTCATTTTTCTTCCTTATTCTCCACCATTTGTTTTCTTCTCAGATTAGTTATAGTTTGTAAATTATTTTGTCAAACATATGCAATAAGGTAACACCGCAGTATTGCAGAATACACTGCATTGGAAACAGATTCATATTGGAATGGGAAAACATCCCTTATTACCTGCAGCTGGGAGATCAATAAGGATGGGATCTGGGGTTCTGACCCCAGGTACCATCTATGGGTGAATGCTTACACTTCTTGAATCCCTAGCGGGCATGTGTTACACGGTGCTAATTTAGTTTATCCATCTGTAGGCTACTAGTGTTAATTCAATTAGACACCCTGCCTTACTGCAAGGACAGAGGGCTTTCCACATCCTGAGCTTATCTGCTTTGCTGTACCTGAAAAATTGGCTCACACATGGGCTTGGAGAATAAGTGCAAGGTTTCATTGATTGGAAGTGCTCAGCATATGGATGGGGAGCCAGAATGGAGATGGAGTGGGAACGTGGTTTTCCCTTGGAATGGGACAGCTCAGAGCTGTCCTCCCACATCCCCATGAAACCTTGTGTTCTGTGGTGAGTGGCCTGCTGCCTCAGTCGTTGTGTTCTCCTTGCTCTGGTGTCCTCTCGAGGTCCAGTTGCTGTGTCTTCTTGTGCTAATGGTTCCTCTCGATGTCCAGCTGCTGTGTATCTGCCTGCTAGTGTCTCAGGGTTTCTTATAGCACAGGATGGGGGTATGGCAGGCCAGGGTGGTCTTGGAAAATGCAGCACTTGGGCAAAAAAACAGAAACACATGTCCTCACCAACTGGGGCAAGAAAATAGAAGTGTGTGTCCTCACCTAGGTCAGTGAGCACAGGCGTGATGGTGGATCCCTAGCCAAGAACCACACCCTCCTCTACCAGGCACTTCCCTGCCCTCCTTCCATATCATTATATTTTAAAATTTAAAACTCCAAAATAGCACCTTTAGAGAAGACAATTGGAGAAAATGGCATTAGAAGAGCCAGTCTAGGATTAGGCTCGCTGAATGCAAAATGGAAACACAGATAGCATGTCCGGCAGGCATGGAATCACTGCAGAAACATATCTCTTACTGAGAAGGAAAAGGAAACAAACTGGCTTCTCTCATCTTCTTGTTCTCTTATCTCTGCAGTGTCACCCCTTGACTGAACTGAAAGAGGAAGTAATTTTTATGGGAGCCTAGGATCCCTACCTCCCAGAGGCCAGGCCTCTCTATTACAGAACAGTGCCAGGGAGACGTGAGTGATGTAGCTGTGGGCATGCAAACCCAGGGCCTCACACAAAGGAGTATCAAAGACAAATACAGTATCAAGGGATGAAGAGAGAATTACTCTCAGGAATGATTCATGCTTGATATTTGTGAAAAGACCAAAAAGTAAAACAGCTTATGAGGTAGTAAACATAAAAAGAACATAAAGAAAAGCAGGCAAAAATGGTAAAGTCCAGGCTATTTACCTTTCCTTTATAGGATTTTGAAAATCCCTTCTGGAATCCTTTTCCCAATATCTTCCATTCATGGATTCTTTCAGGAAATATTTATTGAGCTAGAATGGTCTAAGCATTCGGCAGATGGCATCATATACACTGTTGTACTTCTATCATTGATAGAAAGAATGTTTCTTTTTTTC
This sequence comes from Homo sapiens, assembly GCF_000001405.40. Lineage (NCBI taxonomy): Eukaryota > Metazoa > Chordata > Mammalia > Primates > Hominidae > Homo > Homo sapiens. The sequence goes on from NC_000024.10 coordinate 6,477,048, forward strand.
TACAATGCTTTTCTCCCAAACATTCTTCTTGAAAATTTGTGTCCTTACAGATGCTGTCACTTGTTGCTGTTCTAAGAAGGTTCCCCACACCCCTGTAAACCCAGTTAAGAACTTTCTTCCTCTCCAACTAAGTTACTATATTGCATATATTGTAACACTTGTCAGAGTACATTCCAATTATTGCTCTTCTCTTCATTCTCAAATTAATATTTTGAAGGAAAATCTATGAACACAATGGCTTGACATTTCTCAATATTTATTGTATAAAAGGTTATTAGATATTTATATATATATTTATCTTAATTTTTGGAAAACAAAATAAACAATGTTCACTGCCCAATCCCCCATGAACTGCTCAACTTTAAACAATGTCTAGGATTTTAGAGCAATTATACAAACTTTCAAAAAACACCTGAAAGTGTTTCTATTTTAATTTATTTTGCTTTTTATATTGAATTATTTTGTAGAGACAAAGTTTTGCCTCAAGGCCCACGCTGAAGTGCAGTGTGTGATCACTCCTAACTACAACCGTGAACTCCTGAGTAAATAGAACAACAGATGTGTGCCATCATGCCCAATTTAACCAATTAAATAAGTAGTTACACTTTAGATATAGTTTTTGCTGTGTAGCCTGTGCTGATGTCAAACTCTGGGTTTGAAGCAGTCCTCCCTTCTCCGCCTTCCAGAGAGTTGTGATTCCAGGTGTGAACCACCAGACTTCAAAGAGGAAATTTTAGATTTTAGAATATTGCAATATATTAGACTTAATTTCTTCTTTCAACTTTACATTTGCAGTGACACTTCATAATAATTATTACTTATGGTGAGAATGTGATTTCTTATATTTGGTCACCAAATTTTGAAATCTTTATTCTGTTTACTTAAACCCTAATAACTTGTAGTCAACTGAGCTGAAAGTCAAGTACATGGGTGTTTTTTTTTTTTGCTGAGGCTGTGAAGACAAATGTAGAGATGCATTAAAAACCAAAGACTTTATATATATATATATATATATATATATATATATATATATATAGTCTTTATATATATAGTCTTTATATATATATAAAGTCTTTATGCTTTACATATATAGTCTTTATATATATATAAAGTCTTTATGTGTATATGCAGTCTTTATATATACATAAAGACTTTATAGATATACAGTCTTTAGCATATATATGTGTGTACATATACTTGTGTGTGTACATATGTGTGTGTGTACACATATATATATATGCTAAATGTGTGTATAGCATATATATATATATATATATGCTAAAGCTTTATCCTGGCTGGTGAAGCATCATACATGGCATGGATAGTTTTATAAAATACCCTGAAATACATGCTTTAGTAAGCAATTTAGCACTTGCAATTTCCCAACTTTGCTTTCAGCAGAAGTTAATGATGTATGTCACTTCAAGTAAGTAAATGAATGTTTGAATTGCTGTGAGTTATTTTACTCATTTCTCAGCTAACCACTTAACTTATCAAAGATCTTTACTTGTACAATATCATAAATGATAGATATTAAAAATTAATCAACAGGATTTATCTAAGTAAAAGCTGCCATCTAATATGATATTTTTCAGTAAGATGATAGCAGTAATTATGCCAAAAAATAGTAATTCCCCTAGTTTGAGCCCAGGTGACAGAGCAAGACTCTGTTCACATCTCTTTTCTGGGTATGTGCCAACTCTGGTCTGCTTTAATTTTAGTCAACTGCAGCAACTCATATATCATTTTAGGTCCTGGCCTACACTGATCTTTAATCACTGACTGTGTCTGTGTCTGTCTGTATGTTTTGTGTGTTATCATATTTTATCTGAAGGAGCTAAATAATGGTGCTATAGTGGTTTCATAAACATAAAGCATTCCAGGAACACAATATTGCTTATCAACTGAGCTTTAAAACAGATATGAGGCAGGACATGGTGGCTCACAACTGCACTCCCAGCAATTTGGCAAGCCAAGGTGGGTGGATCTCTTGATGTCAGGAGTTTGTGATAAGCCTGGCCAACATGGCAAGATCCCATGTCTAATATCATAGCAAAGCTAGCCGGGCTTGGTGTCCCATTGATATAATCTCAGCTATGTGGGAGACTGATGCAGGAGAATCCACTGAAACCCTGAGACAGAGTTTGCAGTGAAGTAAGACGACACCACTGCACTCTATCCTGGGCACCAGAGCCAAGACACTGTCTCAGTGTCTAAAATAATAAAATAGACAGGACAGATCACTGAGAAGAGAAATGCATAACACTGGGTGGACATTGTGGCTTATGACTGAAATCCCAGCATTTTGAGAGGCTAAGGTGGGTGGATGACTTGAGGAAAGGAGCTTGAGACCAGCCTGAGCAAATATTGTGAAACCTGGTCTTTACTAAAAGTACAGAAAAAAAAAGCCAAGATTGGTGTCACTTGCCTGCAGTCATAGCTACTTGGGAGGGTGTGACTGGAGAACTGCTGGAACCCAGGATGGGAAGGTTGCAGTGAGCTGAGATCATGCCACTGCACTCCAGCCTAGGCAACAGAGCAGGATTCCATCTAAAAATATTAAACAGAGATACAGAGTTAGAGGAAAGAAAGAAAGAAAAAGAAAGAAAGAAAGAAAGAAAGAAAGAAAGAAAGAAAGAAAGAAAGAAAGAAAGAAGGAAGGAAGGAAGGAAGGAAGGAAGGAAGGAAGGAAAGAAAGAAAGAAAGAAAGAAAGAAAGAAAGAAAGAGAAAGAAAGAAAGAAAGAAAGAAAGAAAGAAAGAAAGAAAGAAAGAAAAAGAAAGAGAACGAAAGAAAGACAGGGAGAAGGGAAGGAGGGAAGAAAGAAAGACAGGGAGAAGGGAGGGAGAGAAGGAAGAAGGGAGGGAGGGAAGAAGGGAAGGAAGGAGAAAGAGAATGAAAGGCATAAAACCAAAAGGAAATGAATAAAAATAAAAACTTACGATTTTGCTCATTATCCACATGAATTTCAAACTATGTTTAAAGTAATATTTTATGTTTACAATAATATTAGTAATATTTAGGTCTCCGGTGGACTAACAGAAATTTTAAAATAAGCACCTATATATTTTCAAAATTACTCATTTAATTATGAGTATTGTCAAAATTACTCAAGTAACTAAGCTTCTTGGAGGAGCTGAAACCTAGTTTTCAACAAATTTAATTGACATATGTCATCAAATTGCATACTATTGGGGCAAGGTAGTCTATATTATGCTGCCTAATCTATGCTAAATTAAAAATGAAATCAAATCTGCAAAAGATTTTCCATTTACTATTACTAGTAAAGGCTGTTTTGTTTCCTGACTTGTGGAGGGTTTTATTTCCACAGTTTTGATGGCTCTGGCAGAAACCTTCCTGGTCCAAACTCACGTCCTATCATCACAGTATATACATGTTCAGGCATTAAGAAGAAAGAGCATCCCATCTTACTGCTTTCCTGCACTGGTTCCCATGCACAAGCCAATGTGCTATGTTAGTGACTATCAAATATTCATATATTTGATCAAGGAGATTTGTGTTTCCGAACAGTAAAACAAAAATACTATGATCAGTTGTATTTTTATTATTTATTTACTTAGAGGCAGGGTCTTGCTCTGTCAACAGGCTGAATTATACATCACTCTGGTCTCAGACTTTTGGGCTCAGAGGATCCTCCAACATCGGCCTTCCAAAGTTCTGAAATTACATACTTTAGCAATTGTATCCAGCCTCAAGTTTAGAGATAAAGGCTAACAAATATATTGTAAACCATATAAATAAACCTAATTGCAGGTTATCTGGAGAGCTGTAAGAAACCACTGAAAAACTGCCATTGTGGACAAGGCTGCTGACAACAATGTCATGCAAGCAGAGGAACGGGTCTTTCCCCAGTAAGCCTTCAGATAATACCAGAGACCAGCATGGCATTTCCATTGCTGCTTTTAGAGAAAACATGAAACAGTGGTGTGCATTTTGTGTGTGTGTGTGTGTGTGTGTAAGCATACATACAAAACCAGTTGAACAAAATAGGATCACCCACATAATGGAATATGATACAACTGTTTGTAGATATGGTAGAATGCGTCCTGAATCTATCAGTTTCTCAGCTTTTTTTTTTTTGGCTGGTAGGTTATTTATTAGTAATGATCCAATTTTGGAAATTGAGATTGGACAGGCTGGAGCTAAGACTGGGTCCACTTTGATTCTGTTGTGGAACAGAAAATTGCATGGCTGTAATTTTGGCTGTGATTATTACTGGAATGTTTCTGTACAGATGGGCTAGTTTTCTGCCTGCAGCAGGAGGCCTTGGGGCTGAAAATCAGCTCCCTTGACATCTGCTGTTGAACAGATCACTTAGGGCCTGCTCTCAGCTAAGAAAGTTGCATATTGCCCAGAAAGTTTCCCAAAGATTATGTAGTTCTCTGACTTAGGGAAGGCCCAAAGCTGAAAGTGGGTCCTCCCCATAGGGGAAAAAAACTGGAAAGTCTAGATCCATTTCCTGCTGGATAGAGCCTGGATAGGCTACATTCATTGGCTCAGACAGGCAAGTTCCCCAGCAGGGTAGCTGCTTCCCAGCAGCAGAGGGAGGGGCTGAAGCTGAGACTGGGATTCTTTTTCTCAATAAAGTCATGTCTTCTACAGATTCTAATGCCCCAGTGATTTCCATTAGATATATCAGAAGTGAACTTCCTTCCAGGGGTACCAAGGCTTATTATATAAGCTACTTGGCCACTGGGTCCAGGTAGAGCCAGAAACTTTATCTTTAACCACTAAGTTGTCTCTGATTTTCAGCCTGGGGATTGATGGAACACACAGGGCTAGGATGGTCAAAAGTATATGGCAGCTGGGATTGGGTGGGGTCACATGCCCCTTCTGTGGATAATCACCTAGTTGCCTCTTTGTCACAGCTTGGGAAGTTTTGCAGAGAAAGCCAGGTTGGGATATGGAAGTTGGCTAATGATTTGAGCATGGCAGATGCATCAACCATGGTTGGTTGCTGCAGAGTGATGCTGTTGCCTAGTTTCCCTGATGGTGCACCTCTGCTGGCTGGAATGCAAGTGTAAGATTACTTTTATGGTCAATGTGAGCCCCATCCATGTAGTTTGTTTCTAACTGACCCCGGTTGTCTGATACCCTCAATATTTCCCACTGGGTAAGACTAGAGAGAACATCATGTGAAGAATTGCAAAATGGAAAAGAAAAGCCTGAGTGTACATTTTCAACTCTCTCCATTCTGAAGAAACTGTGAGTCTGGGAAAAATTTTGTGTGCAACACCATGCTGGCTTGGGGAGGAAAAAATTTAAAACATCAAATTAAAATTATTCTTTTATCCTTTGTGTGTGGCTATTCTCAGTTCTAGTCAAAAAAGGTGTCATATATTCAACCTCAAGTTATAGAATCATTCACTAAGGTATCCTTATCTAAGGATAGTTGTGAGCTGAGTTTTTTGCTGGAGAGGTAGGAATTAGCAGAATCATAGAATGCCTGTTCTGTCACACCAGACCCTAGAAACAGCCAAGTTAAAACACTGGTCCATGCTGAGCACAGTGGCTCATGTCTGTAACCCCAGAACTTTGGTAGGATGAGGAAGGCATATCATGAGGTCAGGAGGTCAAGACCATCCTGGATAACACAGTGAAATCTCCTCTCTGCTAGACATACAAAAAAAAAAGAATTAGCTGAGCCTGTTGGCATTTACCTGTAGTCCTAGCTACTTGGAAGGTTGAGGAAGGAATATCTCGTGAACCCAGCAGATGGAGGTCAAAGTGAGCTGAGATCATGACACTGCACTCCAACCTGGGTGACAGAGTGAGACTGGATCTCAAAAAAAAGAAAAAAGAAAAAAAAACCTCATCCAAAGGGAGGAGTGTAAAACGTTGGGGTGCTTCATGGAGAACCTGAAAGTTAGAGAAAGCCAAGGTTTGGATTTAAGGAATATCTCATGGGACCATCAAAAACCACTTCTTTGTCCCCTATGGAACGCAAGAAATAGTGAATGCTGAGGTACACTGTTTACCGATAAAGGCACATTATCAGCCAGAGATACATGGTTAAGTCTTCTTGTGTTCCTATGAAAGGATGAGACTGGAAAGTTTATAAAGAAAATAGCTTTCATTGATTCCTTGTTCTGCAGACTGTAAAAGATGTGTGTGGTGCCAGCATCTGCATCTGGTGGGAGCTTCACGAGGCTTCCACTCAGCACAGAAGATAAATGAAAACAGGCATGTCATATGTGGAAAGAGCAAGAGAGAGAAGGGGAGATGGTATCAAGCTCTTTTCAACAACCTATTTCTATATAAGCTTCATTGTGGGAATTAATACAGTAGAAAACTCACTTATTAACCATGGCCAGGGTGCCACGCCATTTATGAGGGATCCAGCACCATGACACAAACCAACACCTCACCTTCGTGCTATTTACAGTGTGGAGGACCACATTTCAGCCTGAGGCTTGGAGGGACAAATGTCAAAACTATAACAATAGGCAAGTTTAAAAATCATGCAGAGTTATGGTAAGACGATCATTTTTTCTCTTTAGTATCCTGGGACTACAAAAAGCTGGAATTCATTAGTTTCCAGAGATTAGAAAGTTAGTATTGAAACTCTTAGGCAGCAACCTAGATGTCAGGGCCATAGTTGGGTAGTTTGACTTCTTGGAAGGAAAATTTGGAAGCTCAGTATATTGCTAGAGTGAGTGATGATGAAGGCTGATGAGAAATGCCTATGTGCTTGCTCTCAGAGGACCTTGACAGATCCAAAAGTCAGGAGGATTACGAGCAAGATACCTGGGCAGAAGTTATAAAAGTCAAGACATGGCCAGGTGTGGTGGCTCAAGCCTGTAATCCCAGCACTTTGGGAGGCTGAGGTTGGGGATTACCTGAGGTCAGGAATTTGAGACCAGCCTGACAAACATGGTGAAACCTTGTCTCTACTAAGAAATACAAAAATTAGCCTAGCATGGTTGTGGTCACCTGTATTCCCAGCTAAACAGTAGGCTGAGGCAGGGGAATCACTTGAGCCCAGGAGGCGGGGGTTGCAGTGAGCCAAGATCATGCCATTGCACTCCAGCCCAGGTGACAGAGCAAGACTCCATCACAAGAGAAATAAGAAAAAAAAAAGTCAAGGTGTTAGATGTACAATCTAAGTTCTTCAAGGTATAAAGTGGGAGCTGAGCTTTCTTGACTGCTTGAGATCCAGTAAGCCAGGGAAAAACAGTTTCAGAAGTGCTTGAATGTCTATTTAAATCCCTATTTTTTTCTTGGAGGTCCTAGGGAGAGGTGAAGCCACCTGGACTTCCTGGATCAAGTGGGGACTTGAAAAAATTTTCTGTCTGCTAAGGGATTGTAAATGCACCAATCAGCACTCTATAAAAATGCACCAATCAGCACTCTGTATCTAGCTAAAGGATTGTAAATGCACCAATCAGCAGGACGTGGGTGGATCCAAATAAGAGAATAAAAGCTGGCCACCTCACCCAGCAGCGGCAACCTGCTTGGGTCACCTTCCATACTGTGGAAGATTTTTCTTTCACTCTTCACAATAAATGTTGCTGCTGCTCACTCTTTGGGTCCACACCATCTTTACAAGCTGTAACACTCACCACGAAGGTCTGCGGCTTCATTCTTGAAGTCAGCGAGACCAAGAACCCACAAGAAGGAATAAATTCCAGACAGGTTATGGTGACCACAAAGGGACTATCGCCTATCACAAAGCAGTGAGTACCATCGGACCCCTTTCACTTGTTATTCTGTCCTATTTTTCCTTAGAATTTGGATGTTACATACCAGGCACCTGTCAGCCAGTTAGAAGTGACTAGTGTGGCTGCTGGACTAAAGACACGGGTGACAGACTTTCTGGGAAAGTGCTCTGTAACAACCCCCAACTCTTCACAGTTGAGAGAATTGGTTTGCCTGGAAAGAGCTTCTGATTTCCCTGTACTTCTGGGCTGAGGTGAGGGTCAACAGAGAGGAAAACCATTCTGCTCCAGGGTCCCAAGAGCAAATTGGTTGACCCTGTGGCCATGAGCAGAACTCTCAAAGTCACGTTGCACAAGCGAGACTCACCCATCTATCCTATCTATCCTGACCTCTGACCTTTGCACACTGGATCCTAATGCCTGTCAGACAAACTTCCTCTTGCCTCTTCTCCAAGGCTATTCCTGATTCTAAAAACCACTCCCTGTCTCTCGTGGTTTTCTAGCACCAGACAGAAAAACCACTCCCTCTCTCTGGTGCTTATCTAGAACCTATAAGAATGATTTCTGCTATAAACTCCAGGACTCTATTCCCTTCTTTAGGCACCCAGGCTCACCAATCAGAAAGACATAATTTTTGCCCAAAGCCCTGTCAGTGGTCTTGGGGGACTATCTTATCTAGAATTTTAGGATCACTCCTCAGAATAGCAGGCCTAACAAAGCTACCCCTGAAGCTAGGATATGGGGAGCTTCAGAAATCGTATCCTTCCTATTCAAGTGAGGACAAAAGTCATCACTCTTCCAACCCTGGAGATCCCTTCCCTCCCTCAGGGTATGGCCCTCCACTTCATTTTTGAGGCATAGCATCTTTATAGGACAGGAGTGAAGTCCCAATACTAATGAGAGAATGCTTAGGACTCTAACAGTTTTTCAAGAATGAATCAGTAAGGGCCACTAAATCTGATTTTTCTCATTCCTCTTTGTGGTCTAGGAGGACAGGAAATAGTGCAGGTTTTTGAGAGTGTGTCGGTAAGGGACAATAAATCCAACCTTCCTCGGTCCTCCTTGTGGTCTAGGAAGGAAACTAGTGTTTCTGCTGCTGCGTCTGTGAGTGCAACTATTCCAATCAGCAGGGTCCAGGGACCATTGCAGGTTCTTGGGCAAGAGGTGTTTCTGCTGCTGCATCAGTGAGCACAACTATTCTGATCAGCAGGGTCCAGGGACCATTGCAGTTTCTTGGGCAGGGAGAGAAACAAACAAACCAAAACTGTGGGCAGTTTTGTCTTTCAGATGGGAAACATTCAGGCATCAACAGGCTCACCATTGAAATGCATCCTAAGCCATTGGGACCAATTTGATCCACAAACCCTGAAAAAGAGGTGGCTCATTTTTTTCTGCACTATGGCCTGGCCCCAATATTCTCTCTCTGGTGGGGAAAAATGGCCACCTGAGGGCAGCATAAATTACAATACTATCCTGCAGCTTGACCTTTTCTGTAAGAGACAAGGCAAGTGGAGTGAACTACCTTATGTCCAAGCTTTGTTTTCATTGAAGGAGAATCCACAACTATGGAAAGCTTGACATTTACATCCCACAGGAGGGCCTTTCAGCTTACCCCCATATCCTAGCCTCCATATAGCTCCCCTTCCTATTAGTAAGCCTCCTCTAATCTCCTCCTCCCAGAAGGAAACAAGCAAAGAAATCTGCAAAGGACCACAAAAAACCCTGGGCTATCGATTCTGTCCCCTTCAGGCTGTAGGGGGAGGAGAATTTGGCCCAACCTGGGTACAAGTCCCCTTCTCCCTCCCTGATTTAAAGCCAATCAAGGCAGAGCTGGGGAAGTTTTCAGATGATCCTGATAGGTACATAGATGTCCTGCAGGGTCCAGGGCAAAACTTTGACCTCACTTGGACAGATGCCATGCTATTGTTAGATCAAATCCTGGCCTTTAATGAAAAGAATGTGGCTTTAGCTGCTGCCCAGGAGTTTGGAGATACCTGGCATCTTAGTCAAGTAAATGATAGAATGACAGCTGAAGAAAGGGACAAATTCCCTACCCGTAAGCAAGTCATCCCCAGTATGGAACCCCACTGGGTTCTCAACTCAGATTATTGGGACTGATTTCACACACATCTGTTGACCTGTGTTCTAGAAGGACTAAGGAGAATTAGGAAAAAGCTCATGAATGATGCAATGATGTCCATCATAACTCTGGCATAGGAAAAAAATCATTCTGCCTTCCTCGAGCAGCTACAGGAAGGAAATAGCTGTATTTCCTTAAGGAAATATTCTTACCTGTCACCTGACTCCCTCAAGAGTCAATTGATCCTGAAAGATAAGTTTATTACCCAATCAGCTGCAGATATCAGGAGAATGCTCCAAAAATCAGAGCTGGGCCCTGAACAAAATCTGGAGGCTTTAATAAACCTGGCAACCTTGGTGTTCTATTATAGGGACCAAGAGGAACTGGCCAAAAAGGAAAAGTGAGATCAGAGAAAGGCTGCAGCCTTAGTCATGGCCCTCAGATAAACAAACCTTGGTGGTTCAGAGAGGACAGAAAATGGAGCAGGCCAATTGCATGGTAGGGTTTCTTACCAGTGTGGTTTGCAAGGGCACCTTAAAACAGATTGTCCCACAAGAAACAAGCTGCCTTCTTGCCCATGTCCACTATGCCAAAACAATCACTGGAAGGCTCACTGCCCCAGAGGACAAAGGTTCTCTAGGCCAGAGGCCCCCAACCAGATGCTCCAACAACAGGCAGGAGGGTGCCTGGGACAAGCACCAGCTCATGTCATCAGCCTCACTGAGCCCCAGGTACATTTAACTGTGGAGGACCAGGAAATTGACTTCCTCCTGGACACTGGTGCAGCCTTCTCAGTGTTAATCTCCTGTCCTGGACAGCTTTCCTCAAGGTCCGTTACCATCTAAGGAATCCTGGGATGGCCTGTAACCAGGTGTTTCTCCCACTTATTCAGTTGTAATTGGGAGACTTTTCTCTTTTCACATGCTTTTCTTGTTATGCCTGAACGACTCATACTTTATTAGGGAGGGACATACTGGCCAAAGCTGGCACTATTGTCTACATGAATATGGGGAAAAAGTTACCCATTTCTTGTCCCCTGCTTGAGGAGGTAGTCAACCCTGAAGTCTGGGGGATTAGAAGAAACAAACTCAAGCTCCAGCCTTAAGCCTTCCCACAGGACAAAACTTCTCTTTATATGTCACAGAAAGAGTAAGAATAGCTCTTAGAGTCCTTACTCAAACTCTTGGGACAACCACACAACCAGTGGCATACATAAGTAAGGAAATTGATGTAGTAGCAAAAGGCCATCCTCACTGTTTACTGGTAGTAGTGGTGGTGGCCATCTTAGTGTCAGAGGCTATCAAAATAATTCAAGGAAAGGATCTCACTGTCTGGACTACTGATGATGTAAATGGCACACTAGGTGACAAAGGAAGTTTATGGCTATCAGATGACAGCTTGCTTAGATAGGAGGTACTACTCTTTGAGGGACATATGCTTCAAATATGCATATGTGCAGGCCTCAACCATGCCATTTTTCTCCTAGAGGATGGGAAACACTAATCGAGCATGACTGCCAACAAATTAAAGTCCAAAATTATGCCTCCCAAGAAGATCTCTTAGAAGTCCCCTTAGTTAATCCTGACCTTAACCTATATACCAATGAAAGTTCATTTGTGGAGAATGGGATATGAAGGTCAGGTTATGCCATAATTAGGGGTGTAACAGTACTTGAAAGCAAGCCTCTTCACCAGAGACCAGCCCCCAGTTAACAGAACTAGTGGCACTTACCCAAGCATTTGAACTGGGAAAGGGAAGAATAAATGTGTATATGGATAGTAAATATGCTTATCTAATCCTACATGCCCATCCTGCAATATGGAAAGAAAATGAATTCCTAACCTCTGGAGAAACCTCCATTAAATATCATGAGGAAACCATGGAGTTATTGAATGCTGTGCAAAAGTCCAAGGAGGTGGCAGTCTTACACTGCCAAAGCCATCATAAGTGGAAGGAGAGGGGAGAACAGCAGCATGAATGGCTGGCAGCGTCAGAGAAAGACCAACAGACAGGAAAGAAACAGAGAGACAGAGGAAGAGACAGAAAGTCAGGAGAGAGAGAGAGAGAGAGAGAGAGGAAGGGACACACAAAGAGGGATTCAGAGAGAAAGAAAGAGAAAGAGAGAGACAAAGTCAAAGACAGAAGGAAAGAGAGGAAGAGACAGACAAAGAAAGAGTCAAAGAGAGAGAAAGAGACAGACAGTTAGAAAGAGACAAAGAGAGGAAGAGATAGGCAAAGAGGGAGTCAGAGAGAAAGAAAAAGAGACAAAGTCAAATACAGAAGGGAAGAGAGAGACAAAGTCAAATACATAAGGGAAGAGAGAGAGGAAGAGACAAACAAAGAAGGAGCCAAAGAGAGGGAAAGAGATAGAAGTGGTAAAGAAAAAACAGTGTACCCTATTCCTTTAAAAGCCAGGGTAAATTTAAAACCTATAATTGATAATTGAAGGTCTTCTCAATGACCCGGTAACACACCAATACCACCTTGTTGTCAGTGTAAACAAGGGCATAGCCTGAAATCACTAAGGCTACTGACAACCCCTAGCCCTCCTATTAAAAATGTTAAACACGGCAGGTTTCCTAACAGGGGATCTAAGTCTTAACTAATTACCATACAAAAGTCCAACCAGACCTATGAGGAGCTCCCTTCAGGACAGGATGATAGATAGTTCTTTCCAGGCAATTAAGGGGAAAAGACAGAATGGGTATTCAGTAAGTGATAAGGGAACACTTGTAGAAGCAATTAGGAAAATTACCTAATAATTTGTCTGCTCAAACATGACAGCTGTTTTCACTCAGTCAAACCTTAATGTACTTACAGAATCAGGAAGGAGCCATCTATACAATTTCTAAGTTAATAGGGACTGAATGAGGTCTTATTAATAGCAAAGAATAATTGAAATCCCAAAATTAGAAGGTTTTCAACGAAAGTAAAATTTGCTAAAAGTTAGCAGTGTAACATGTTTTATCCTACTACCTCACACTCTCAAAGGATTTCTCAGACAGTTTGTGAAAAATAACAAAATCTATCCTTTCTCTGCAATCCAAAATAGACTCTTTGGCAGCAGTGACTCTCCAAAACTGCCAAGGCCTAGACTTCCTCACTGCTGAGAAAGGAAAGCTCTACAACCAGTCAGGGATAGTATAAGATGCCGCCCGGCATTTAAAGGAAAAGGCTTCTGAAATCAGACAATTCCTTTCAAACTCTTATACCAAATTCTGGTGTTGGGCATTATGACTTCTTCCCTTTCCAGGTCCCAGGACAGCCATCTTGCTATTACTCGCCTTCAGGCCCCTGTATTTTTAACCACCTTGTCATATTTATTTCCTATAGGATCGAGGTTACAGGTGGTCTTACAAATGGAACCCCAAATGAGCTCAACTAACAACTTCTACCAAAGACCTTGGATCATCCCTCTGGCCCTTTGGCTGGCCTAGAGAGTTCCCCTGTAGAGGACACTAACACTGGAGGGCCCCTTCTTCACCTCTACCCAGCAGGAAGTAGCTAGAGTGGTCATTGCCCAATTCCCAACAGCAGTTGGGGCATTGAGAGGTGAAGACAGCTGGACTTCATGGGTCGAGTGGGGACTTGGAGAACTTTTCTGTTTAGCTAAAGGATTGTAAATACACCAATCACCACTCTGTAAAATCTCACAAATAAGTGCTCTGTGTCTAACTAAATGATTGTAAATGCACCAATCAGCACTCTGTAAAACGGACCAATCAGCACTCTGAAAAATGGACCAATCAGCAGGATGTAAAACGGACCAATCAGCACTCTGCAAAATGGACCAATCAGCAGGATGTGGGTGGGGCCAAATAAAGAAATAAAAGCCAGCCACCCCACCCCAGAGTGGCAACCCATGCAGGTCCCCTTCCATGCTGTGGAAGCTTTGTTCTTTCACTCTTCACAATAAGTCTTGCTGCTGCTCACTCTTTGGGTCCACACCAACTTTAAAAGCTGCAATAGGCCGGGCGCGGTGGCTCACGCCTGTAATCCCAGCACTTTGGGAGGCCGAGGCGGGTGGATCACGAGGTCAGGAGATCGAGACCATCCTGGCTAACACGGTGAAACCCCGTCTCTACTAAAAATACAAAAAATTAGCCGGGCGTGGTAGCGGGCGCCTGTAGTCCCAGCTACTCGGGAGGCTGAGGCAGGAGAATGGCGTGAACCCGGGAGGCGGAGCTTGCAGTGAGCCGAGATCACGCCACTGCACTCCAGCCTGGGCGACAGAGCGAGACTCCGTCTCAAAAAAAAAAAAAAAAAAAAAAAAAAAAAAGCTGCAATACTGGCCAAGAATGTCTGTGGCTTCATTCTTGAAGTCAGCAAGACCAGGAACTCACCAGAAGGAAGAAACCCTGGATGCATCTGAACATCTGAAGGAATAAACCCCAGACACACCATCTTTAAGAGTTGTAACACTCAACTTGAAGGTCCAAGGTTTCACTCTTGAAGTCAGAAAGACCAAGAATGCACCAGAAGGAAGCAACTCTGGAAACAATATGCCCAACTCAGTGTTTCAAGGCTATAATCACAACACGTTCAGAGGCCAAGGAAGGAGGACACTTAAACCTCAGAGTCTGAGACCAACCTGAACAATATATCCAAAGCATTGTCCTTACCACACACACACAAACACAAAAGTGGGGCACAGTGGTGTGTGTCTATAATTCTATCTACTTGGGAGGCTGAAATGGAAGTCTCACTTATTTGAACCCAGGAGTTCAAGGCTGCAGTGAGGTACGATGGTGCCAATGCAGTCCAGGCTGGACAACAGAGTGAGACCCTGTGTCTAAAAAAAAAAAAAAAAAAAAAAGTGCTTGAAATGAAGGATAAGCTATGTATTATTTATATATTTGTTGATTTTGATTTGGAGTCTTGCTCTGTCACTCAGGCTACAGTGCAAGGTGCAATATCAGCTCACTTCAGCCTTAGGCCCACAGGGTCAAAAAATTGTCCTGCCTGAGCCTCCCAATTAACTATAACATACTACAAGCATGGGCCGTCAAGCCCAGATAATTTTTTTTATTTCAGGTAGAAATAGGGTTTCATAGTGTTGGCCAGGTTTGTCTCAAACCCCTGACCTAAAGTGATCTGCAAGTCTCAGCCTCCCAAAGTGCTGGAATTAAAAGACTGAGCCATCACACCTGGACAGTAACATACACAAGACTAGGGAGTTTTATCTTTTCACTTCGTCCTCACAATACTACATTATAGGTGAATGAAAACACAACTTCATAACATGAAGAACTCACTTGAAATTCAAAGTTGGTAACTTCTGTCTTTAAAATTATTTCCACACTTACCCTCTAAAAATTGATGATCTTGTCAAAATTTTACGAAGAAAATGCTTCCTCCTTGCAGATTAGTATGTTAATTGTAAGAATTATGGACTGTAAAACTTCTGGAACTTCATGTATTTCATTTCTTTAGGGTGTATAATCAGGAAAGCAGAGAAACCTGGTCTCTACTAAAAATAAAAAATTAGCCAGGCATAGTGGTGCATGCCTGTAATCCCAGCTACTTGGGAGGCTGAGGCAGGAGAATTGCTTGAACCCAGGAGGTGGAGGTTGCGATGAGCTGAGAAGGTGCCATTGCACTCCAGCCTGAGAAACAAGAGTGAGACTCCATCTCAAAAGAAAAAGGAAAAGAAAATAATATTTTAATTGCTTATGCTTTCAAAGATAGATGATATTAAAGGCTGAAGAAAAGGCTGAGCACAGTGGCTCACTCCTGTACTCCCGGCACTTTGGGAGGATGAGGTGGGTGGATCACCAGAGGTCAGTAGTTCAAGACCAGCCTGGCCAACACCTTGAGATCAAAGAGGGGAAGGGGGTGGGTTAAATTGTGGTTGCTTAGAAGGAATACAATCTAGTGTTCAGTAGCCCAGGATGATTACACTTAATAATGATTTATTGTATATCTGAGAAGAATTAAAACAGCGAAGGTGGAATGTCACTCATACTAATAAGTGATATGCCAGACTCAGTGGCTCACAGCTATAATCACAACACATTGTGAGGCCAAGGAAGGAGGATCACTTAAGACTGGAAGACCAGTCTGAACAATATATGGAAGCATTGTCCCTACCACACACACACACAAACACAAGAGCTGAGCATGGTGGTGTGTGTCTGTAATTCCAGCTAAGTGGGATTTTTCTTTTACCTATCCTTAATTCCATAACCACCATCTCTTGACAACATATGGTCATTTCTCCATGAAGTGATTGGCTTCTCGAGTGGAGGACCTCCATAATTCTCTCTTCCATTAAATTTAATGCTAAAATGAAGGAACATAATGTAAGAACACCAAATCTGAAACATTATTTTCTCTTCTCTCAAACAACTTTTTAAAATTATTTCTTCTATGTCTCCACTCTTTTTTCCCTAAATTACTAGAAAATCATGACACTGTGAATGTTTCTTATGGCTTTGGATAATCCCATGGCTCCTGCAAGGCTAGTTCTAACAAAGCTGATGGCAGACATAAATTCTTTGGTAAAGGTTCATTTGTAATAGTTAATTACAACTTAGTTATGATTTTCCTTTTTATATGAATTACTGATGACTACTAATGACACATGGAAAAATGTAAAACCATCAAACTCTTCACTGATTTTCAAATTTACATACATTGTCCTTTCTCAGCTGAAGAAGGTAAATTTTCCCATGCTGTTCAGTCCATCTCACACACACAAATACTGCTACCTTTGAATGACTGCATGCTAAACTTTTACATAAAATTTCTCCTTTATCTCTAAGTGGTTGGCTTTATCATAAATGTTGACAAATTAAAGTATACTAGTGAATATTTTCTAACGATGACCAAGATTTACTTATACTGCAATAAGCAATACTGTTAAAGGGATCATGACAACATTGTTGTTATTTCAAAATAGAAAAGACTCTCCTTTAATATACTCTTCACGTGCTATTACTTAGAGGTCCACCTTTCACTTATGATATGTTCACCAGCTAATTTTCCTATGGAAATGTGTTGGCTTGTGTATCCTGAATTCAATAAATACCTAACTTCACTGATACTCTACACATGAAATGTTAAATTTAAAATGGCAGTTTTCAATTTCCTCCATATTAGGATGGAGGAATAAGTAACAATTTTATTTTGTTCTGCTAAAAGTCATCGCTAAGAACTTTGATTTATTGTCTTGCTTTCTTCTGTTCAGTCTGCAATCTTACAATTCTCCTTCTCAAAAATATTATTTCTATTCAATCCTACTGCTCAACTCATGTTGCTTAGTTCTAAATTCTCTCCTCAAATAATTTTAAATCTTACACTAAGGTCTTGTGTTAATGTTTAAACATCCAGGTACAATCTTAATTATTGATTTACATTCCATTGTATTTCACAACTCTGCACTTCTGTGATATCCACTTAATTTAAGAATATTAGACTCCTTCATGTTTACCTTTGAAGCCTTAAATTTATTTTTAAATAATATTTAAGCCCAGTGCCTCTTTTTCTGCCAAATGCTCTTGTAGTTTTTTTGAACCTTTATATAAGCATTAAAAATGCCTTGTGCATAAGAAATATTGAGGTCTCGGAACCGAGATGCCAGGCTCACTGGCCCACACTGTGGGCCAGTGTAGAAGTCTGAGGCACCTGGATTGCTTGAGCCTAAGACTTTAATGTCAGTTTTGATAATGTGGTGAGATCCTCTCTCTACAAAAATATAGGGAAAAAATTTAGCTAGATGTGGTGGTGCATGCCTGTAGTTGCAGCAACTGAGAAAGCTGAAACAGGACAATTGCTTGAGCCCAGGAATTTGAGGGTGTAGTAAGCCATCATCTCACCTATGCACTCTGACCTGGGAAGAGTAAGCCTCCATCCTAACGGACTAAGTTTTAATTGTTTATAAAGATTTTCTACATATTATAATCTTGCAAATTCACATTTGTCTAAAGTAATAAAATTAACATTTCTACATGAAAGAAGTACAATTCAAGCAATAAAAGTCTGTTTAGAAAATCTAGTAAGAAACTCGAGTCATAATATGTTGGTGAGAGATAGAGATGTGGGAAGAATGGAGAGTGAACTGGGAGCAGAAATCTATCAGTAAAATATCTAAGTATAATATACATAAAATATTAAAAGAAAAATGATAAATGACTGTTTTTATCATTCTGTTATGAGGAAAAATTTCCAAAGCAAATCATAAAGATAAACTAAATTCCATGCAAAGAAATTAAAATATTTACAAAATCAAAAGGTGACACATCAGGAAAATACATCATCCCTAAAATTTGTTAACATAACATTGAATTCTTACAATTCCCTTATGAAATGCTAATTTTCAGATTAGACTATGCTAAATATTAATAATCTTTAAGAATTGCATATTAAATAATATAAAAATATTTTCATATATCTACAAAAATGTAGATATATGCCAATTGCCAGGCGCTGTTACAAGTTAGAAGACGCACATTCTTATACAACGCAGAGTGTAATTGAACCCCACCCTCCAGATCAATGGAGATGAAATAATCACGAAGCTGTGTATCTTAAAATGGAGGAAACACTGTAATTTCAACTTTAAAAAACATCTCCAATTAATAAAAAATCTGGTTATTAAAACTCGAAATTAAATAGTATATTTTTGAAGGTTGGTTAATAGATAATACAAGTTAACCAATGGGTTAATTTATTTGTTTATTTATTGAGATGGACTATTGCCCTATCCCCCAGGCTAGAGTACAATGGCATTATCTTGGCTCACTGCAGCTTCCAACTCCGTATTTCCAGTGATTCTCCTGCCTCAGCCTCCTGAGTACCTGGGAGTAGAGCTGTAAGGCACCATGCCAGGCTAATTTTTTGTATCTTTAGGAGAGACAGGTTTTCATCATGTTGGCCAGGCTTGTGTGGAACTCTTGACCTCTTGGTCCATCTGTCCCATATTTCCCAAGTGCTGAGATGACAGGCATGAGCCACCTCACCCAGCCCATGATATAGATAGATAGATAGATGATAGATAGCTAGATAGATAGATAGAGATAGAGATATATAGATATATCTATGTATCTATATATATTTTATATATATGTAAAATACATGATTTGATTTTCTTTTTTATGTAAAAATTGACCCCTTATTTCTATAGCATAAATCACTCATAAATATCATTTTCAGTGACTCAGCCTCCAGTAAAGAAAGATACTTACATACCAGTGAAGCAGTAGTTCTTAGACACTTCCAGGGTCACAAACTCTTTTCAGAAATTAAAGCTCTACATTTCTTAAACTGAAAATGCTTTAAGGCAGTCTGATGTACAAACTCTCTGTATCAAAATTACTAAGCAATTGACTTGCACAGATGTTTGCACATGAATACACAAAAAAACAAATATTGCAAAATCAATCTTAAGTACTGAGATACTTTTTCCTATTTGAAAGTTTTAAATATTCCATTGTATTTTGATGATAAAACCGATATGAAGTTCTGGGCCCCAGAGTAGAAAACGCTAAAGTATAATGAATATAAATGACTTCTTCAGAAAACCGGTTTACAGGCAATCAGCATTCATAAAATCAATTCTGTTTGAAATTTGCCTTATTTCAATGCAAAGTTATTACACTTTTAAAATGAATTTTAGATATTAATTCAATCATTCTTATAATAAACCTTTGCTAGTTAGAAATAAATGAATAATAAATGTTCTGTTCATAAAGATAATAAATAAAATTGAGAAATTTTGATATCTTCAAACTTATTTTCTTTCAGTCTTATGGTTCCACCTTCATATTTTAAAACATTACCCAAGTGCCCTTCATGTGAAGGCAGCCACCCTCCTGTTCCTCCACTACTTCCTCTTGCAGATCTTAGACTTCCTGAAGGGCTTCTGTTTCTTGAAGAAGGTGGTGGTATCTGCTAACCACCACTTTGAAAATGGTTTCTTGGCTTATTCTACTTTTATTGCTTTTCCATCCAAACATTAAAAGTAGTAAGGGTACTATCAATAACATTGGCACATTTAACCTAAGCACATTTTACAAACATTTTTACGTCAACTACAGTTCATAGTTAATTAGGTGATAGGGAGATATTGGAAGAAGTATTTTTGAAGTCACATGTCTTTATTTTTTTTTAATTATACTTTAAGTTTTAGGGTACAAGTACACAGCGTGAAACTTTGTTACATATGTATACATGTGCCATATTGGTGTGCTGCACCCATTAACTCTTCATTTAGCATTAGGTATATCTCCTAATGCCATCCCTCCCCCCTCTCCCCTCCCCCCACTCCACAACAAGCCCCGGTGTGTGATGTTCCCCACCCTCTGTCCAAGTGTTCTCATTGTTCAATTCCCACCTATGAGTGAGAAAATGCGGTGTTTGGTTTTTTGTCCTTGTGATAGTTTGCTGAGAATGATGGTTTCCAGCTTCATCCATGTCTCTACAAAGGACATGAACTCATCATTTTTTAAGGCTGCATAGTATTCCGTGGTGTAAATGTGCCACATTTTCTTAATCCAGTCTATCATTGTTGGATATTTGGTTTGGTTCCAAGTCTTTGCTATTGTGAATAATGCCGCAGTAAACAAATGTGTGCATGTGTCTTTATAGCAGCATGATTTACAATCCTTTGGGTATATACACAGTAATGGGATGGCTGGGTCAAATGGTATTTCTAGTTCTAGATCCCTGAGGAATCGCCACACTGTCTTCCACAATGGTTAAACTAGTTTACAGTCCCACCAACAGTGTAAAAGTGTTCCTATTTCTCCACATACTCTCCAGCACCTGTTGTTTCCTGACTTTTTAATAATCACCATTCTAACTGGTGTGAGATGGTATCTCATTGTGGTTTTGATTCGCATTTCTCTGATGGCCAGTGATGATGAGCATTTTTTCTTGTGTCTGTTGGCTGCATAAATGTCTTCTTTTGAGAAGTATCTGTTCATATCCTTCACCCACTTTTTGATGGTTTTGTTTGTTTTTTTCTTGTAAATTCGTTTGAGTTCATTGTAGATTATCGATATTAGTCCTTTGTCAGATGAGTAGATTGCAAAAATTTTCTCCCATTCTGTAGGTTGCCTGTTCACTCTAATGGTAGTTTATTTTGCTGTGCAGAAGCTCTTTAGTTTAATTAGATCCCATTTGTCAATTTTGGCTTTTGTTGCCATTGCTTTTGGTGTTTTAGACATGAAGTCCTTGCCCACTCCTATGTCCTGAATAGTATTGCCTAGGTTTTCTTCTACAGTTTTTATGGTTTTAGGTCTAACATTTAAGTCTTTAATCCCTCTTGAATTAATTTTTGTAGAAGGTGTAAAGAAGGGATCTAGTTTCAGCTTTCTACATATGGCTAGCCAGTTTTCCCAGCACCATTTATTAAATAGGGAATCCTTTCCCCTTTGCTTGTTGTTGTCAGGTTTTTCAAAGATCAGATAGTTGTAGATATGCAGCATTGTTTCTGATGGCTCTGTTCTGTTCCATTGGTCTATATCTCTTTTTTGGTACCAGTAACATGCTATTTTGGTTACTGTAGCCTTGTAGTATAGTTTGAAGTCAGGTAGTATGATGCCTCCTGCTTTGTTCTTTTGGCTTAGCATACAAAATCAATGTGCAAAAATCAAAGCACTCTTATACAACAATAACAGACAGAGAGCCAAATCATGAGTGAACTCCCATTCACAATTGCTTCAAAGAGAATAAAATACCTAGGAATCCAACTTACAAGGGACTTGAAGGACCTCCTCAAGGAGAACTACAAACCACTGCTCAATGAAATTAAAGAGGATACAAACAAATGGAAGGACATTCCATGCTCATGGATAGGAATAATCAATATCATGAAAATGGCCATACTGCCCAAGGTAATTTATAGATTCAATGGCATCCCCATCAAGCTACCAATGACTTTCTTCACAGAACTGGAAAAAACTACTTTAAAGTTCATATGGAACCAAAAAAGCCTGCATTGCCAAGTCAATCCTAAGCCAGAAGTCAAGTGTCTTTAAAAATGCTTTAACTGAGCAAAGACTAAACCTTTGGGGAAGTAATCTAGGAACATATTTGGAGGAATAGAATTCCAGGCAGAGAACATAATCATTGAAATAATTCTGACACTAGAATTAAGCAAACAGTCATACTGTCATCATGTAGCAAGATGAACAAAGGAAAACGCTTAAGTGAGATCAAAGACAAATCCTTTTGGTTTTATTCCAAGTATAATTCTGGCTACCAGGAGAACAAACTAAGCTACAAGTGAGTATCAGAATCAAGCAGAGAGACCAAACAAATGATGATGCTTCAACAAACGTAATGGCAGAGGAGGTGATACAAGCAGTCATTTTATGTGACTGTATAAGTTGTGCTTTGCCGAATGTTACTTGGCTGATGGTGTAAATAATATTCAGATAGCGATGCTGAGTATGTAGGTGATTTTTTATTGTTACAACTTTCCTCTGAATTCCTTCTAGTATTTGACTTCACTCTTTTAACCAGAGTTAAAATTATTTATGCCTAAGTATTATATGGTAATCATTAGGTATGTACCATGTAAAAGTTCTTACTGTCCATCAAGTAATATAAAATTTACATATGATAGAAAAGTATAATTTATACTTTTAAGTTAATATCTTATAATTTAATGTATGTATAAAACCTATGTTATATAACTAATTTATAAATATGTGTTCCTAAACATGTTCAATATACGTATCTGTATATTTTATAATATATATGTATTGCATATAGATTAAATTTATACATTATATATATTTTAATTCATGTATAGTATATGTCTATATGTATTTTTTATATACTTTAAGTTCTGGGGTACATGTACAGAAAGTGCAGTTTTGTTACATGGGTATTCATCCACCATGGTGGTTTGCTGAGCCCATCAAATCATCATATACATTATATATTTCTCCTAAAGCTATCCCTCCACTAGTCCCCTACCCCCAACAGGCACTGGTGTGTGATGTCCCCTCCCTATGTCCATATGTTCTCATTGTACAACTACAAATTATGAGTGAGAACATGCAGTGTTTGGCTTTCTGTTCTTGTGTTATTTTGCTGAGGGTGATGCTTTCCAGCTTCACCTATGTCCCTGCAAATGACATAAACTCAGCCTATTTTATGGCTGCTTAGTATTCCATTGTGTATATGTGCCACATTTTCTTTATCCAGTCTATCACTGATGGACATCTGGGTTGGTTCCAAGTCTTTGCTATTGTGAACAATGCTTCAATAAACAGAAGGGTGCATGTGTCTTTATAGTAGAATTATTTATAATCCTTTGGGTATATAACCCAAAATGACATTGCTGGGTCAAATGCTATTTCTGGTTTTAGATCCTTAAGGAATCATCAGACTGTATTCCACAATGGTTGAAGTAATTTACACTCCCACCAACAGTGTAAAAGCATTCCTATTTATCCACATCCTCTCCAGCATCTGTTGTTTCCTGACTTTTTAATGATCACCTTTCTAATTGGCATGAGATGGTATCTCATTGTGGTTTCGATTTGCATTTCTCTAATGACCAGTGATGATGAGTTTTTTTCATATATTTGTTGGCTGCATACCTGTCTTCTTTTGAGAAGCATCTGTTCATATCCTTCACTCAGTTTTTCATGGGTTGGTTTAGTTTTTTTCTCATAAATTTGTTTAAGTTCTTTGTAGATTGTGGATATTGGTCTGTTGTCAGATGGATAGATTGTCCATTGTTAGATGGTAGGTTTATGGGGATAGCATTGAATCTATAAATTGCTTTGCACAGTAGGGCCATTTTCAAAATATTGATTCTTCCTATAATGAGCATGGAATGTTTTTCCATGTATTTGTGTCCTCTCTTATTTCCTTGAGCTGTGGTTTGTAGTTTTTGAAAAGGTCCTTCACATCCTTTGTATATTTTATACCTAGGTATTTTATTCTCTTAGTAGCAACTGTGTATGTGAGATCACTCATGATTTGACTCTCTGCTTGTCTGATATTGGTGTACAGGAAAGCTTGTGATTTGTGTGAGCTGAGATAGTGGGGTTTTCTAAATATACAATCTTGAGATCTGCAAACAAAGACAATTTGACTTCCGCTTATTCCATTTGAATACACTTCATTCTTTCTCTTGCCTGATGGCCCTTGTCAAAACTTCCAAAACTGTGGTGAATAGGAGTGGTGAGAAAGGGGGTATCCTTGTCTTGTGCAGGTTTTTAAAATGAAAGTTTCCAGGTGCTTCCAGGCTGTGGTTTTGTCATAAGTACCTGTGATTATTTTGAAATATGTTCCATCAATACCTAGTTTATTTAGAGTTTTTGTCATGAAGTTGTGTTGAATGTTGTCGAAGGGCTTTTCAGGATTTATTAAGATAATCATGTGGTTTTTGCCATTGATTCTGTTTATGTGATGGATTATGTTTATTAATTTGTGTATGTTGATTCTGCCTTACATCCCAAGTACGAACCTGACTTCTTCATGGTGGATACACTTGTTGATGTGCTTCTGGATTTGGTTTGCCAGTGTTTCATTGAGGATTTTTGCGTCAATGTTCATCAGAGATATTGGCCTGAAATTTTCTTATTTTGCTGTGTTTCTGCCAGATGTTGATATCGGGATGATTCTGGCCTCATAAAGTGACTTACGGTGGATTGCCTCTTTTTCTATTGTTTGGAATAGCTTCAGAAGGAATGGTACCAGCTCCTCTTTGTGCCTCTGGTAGAATTCTTCTGTGAACCGTCTACTCCTGGATTTTGTTGTTGTTGTTGTTCATAGGCTGCTAATTACTGCCTCAATTTCAGAACTTGTTATTGGTCTATTCAGAGATTCAATTTCTTCCTGGTTTAGGCTTTGGAGGCTGTGTGCATCCAGGAATTTATCCATTTTTTCAGATTTACTAGTTTATTTGCATGGAGATGTTTATAGCATTCCCTGATGGTAGTTTGTTTTTCTATGGGATCAGTGGTGATATCCCCATTATCATTTTTTATTGAGTCCATTTGATTCTTCTTTATTTTTTTCTTCATTAGTCTGGATAGTGGCCTATCTATTTTGTTGATCTTTTCAAAAAGCAGCTCCTGGCTTCATTGATTTTTTTGAAGGGTTTTCATATCTCTGTCTCCTTCAGTTCTGCTCTGATCTTAGTTATTTTTGTCTTCTCCTAGCTTTTGAATTTGTTTGCTTTTGCTTTTCTTGTTCTCCATTCTTTTAATGTTGATGTTAGTGTGCCAATTTTAGATGTTTCCTACTTTCTTTTGTGGACATTAAGTGCTACATATTTCCCTCAAAACACTGCTTTAAATGTTTCCCAGAGATTCTGGTATGCTGTGTCTTTGTTCTCATTGGTTACAAAGAACATCTTTATTTCTGCCTTCATTTCATTATGTACCCAGTAGTCATTCAGGAGCAGGTTGTTCAGTTTCCACATAGTTGTGCACTTTTGAGTGAATTTTTAAATACTGAGTTCTAGTTTGATTGCACTGTGACCTGGGAGACTGTTTGTTATGATTTCTGTTATTTTGCATTTGCCGAGGAGTGTTTTACTTCCAATTATGTAGTCAATTTTAGAATAAGTGCTTTTACTCTGAGTGTAATTCTGGCTATTGGGAGAACAAACTGTAAGCTGCAAGTGGGTATCAGAATCAAGCAGAGAGACCAAACAAATGATGATGGCTTCAACAAATGTAATGAGTATGTAGGTGATTTTTTATTGTTTGGAACCTTCCTCTAATTTCTTTCTAGTATTTGATTTTACTGTTTTAACCAGAGTTAGAATTATTTAAGCCTAAGTGTTATATGGAACTCTTGAAGTATGTACCATGTAATATTTATTACTGCCCATCAAGTAATATAAAATTTACATGTGATAGAAAAGTATAACTTATAATTTATTATATTTTAATTTAATATTTGTATAAGCCATATAAGCTATATAACCAATTTATAGATATAAGTATTCATAAACATATACAAGATATGTATCTGTGTATTTTATAATTTGTATATGTATTGCATACATAAGTAATTTATGCATTATACATTGTAATCCATGTATATTACATGTCTATAAGTATTTCTAATATATATGGTTAACTTTGTTTCCAACCATTCAAGTACAGCAAAGTCGTCCTGTTCTTTGCCTCTTTGGCAGTCACTGGGAACTGGTAGGCCTGGTCAGTTTTACCTCAGAAGCCTGTTATGACCCTGTTCTTTTCATCAGGACAGCCCAATACATATCTTGAATGAGATGGCTTATCAAGGCATCCCAGAAACCACTGGGTCCCATTTTTTTCTCTACCTTGCAATTTTATCCTGGAGTAGAAGATAGTCCACAAAACACACTTAGCTCTAACACAGGCTCTGTCACTTTGCTTTTTCATGGATTCTGAGAACAAACATGTAGGAGAAGATTAAGCACTTCCTCAGTGAACAGAAGGCACTGGAACCTTCATTCAATGTTTTTTTGGTTCAAATAATAGAGACTATTTTATGCCAATAGACCATTACACTTTCAAAGTGGTCACCTCTCTTCAGCTAGCAAATTCCCAATGGTATGATCCTGGATTTCTCCTGTTGCCAAACTGTGGGATCATCCTGATACAGCTGAATGCTGGGGTACCCCAGAAATGGACAAATCTCAATATTTCTTTTTTTCTGGACCCCAGAACTCCCAAACAGCTATTAAACCTATACCCTGGAATTTTCCTCAGAAAAATACAATAAATTATAAATATTAAGCTGTAACTGATTCAGCAAGATTCTAGATTAATACATTAGCTAGTATAATTAGGCTTCATACTCTGCAGTTAGTTAATGCTGGTAGATGGTGGTTTCTCTTTTCAAGTGGGATAGGTGGATCTCAAGTTCCTGTTAAGAGGGATACTCATCTGTCTCAAGTTCAATCTATTAATGTTCCATCTCATGGGCAACTTGTAGCTAGACCTCGGCTAGAAATTACCCCTGAAGTTGAAGCTTGGAAACAATTTTTATCTTATAAAACAGGAACAGTGATGTAGATTCAATCCAGGGAAGAGAGTAATAGAAAAAAAAATGTATCACGTAGTGCATAGAGCTAACCCTGGCACTAAACTGGTAACTTACAACTAGATTCCACCAGTACCTTTCATAGATAATAAAATTGAACTATGGGCTCATTCATCCCTCGATGAAGATTGATCTCAGCATACTACAGTAACCCATACCATTGAAACATGGTGTCAGCTAGTTTTAAATGTATTTGGATCCTCAAGAAACTATAGAAAGCTCAGATGGATACTGGATTCTCACTGAACCTGAGTCCACTCAGTTCTGGATTTCTTCTATACTGCATACTCTTCATGTGCTAAGTCAAAAGGTGACAATATTAAGGCTTGGGCGCAACAGAAAACCAGTATGATCAGGCCCTCAAATCAAATCAATAGATGTAGTCCATTTAGTAAACATGAGGCTATTATACTCAAACCCCTGATGCAGAAATGGATCTTAATACATCCTATTATGAATATAATTGAGCCCTTCCTTCACTCCAAAGTTGACATGATCAGACCCTGAAGTCAGCCTAAAACAGCCATAGTCCTTACCTGGATCTAGCCAGAATCTCAATCAGGAAGACTCTTGATTCACTTGAGAGCTGATATGATTAAACCATTGTTACAAACTGAAACTGAAAGAATGAGACTCGGCATTCAGCATAAATTTAAAATATTGAGGCCTAGAGCCCAGACTCAAGAATGGAAAGAAAAACACTGGACCCAACCAGAAGCAGATCCAGTTAGGTACTGGTCCCAAACTGGGATGGAAACAGTGGTACCCAGGCCCCAACCTGGAGATGATAGATCCAGACCCCGAAATCACACTGAAGCTGATATCATCAAACTTTTATTTCAGTCTCAATCAGAGACAGTCACACAGTGGAGAGAACCAGTAACTCTGACAGATCACCATTGGATACAGTCTGAAACTGAAATAGTGATGTTTTGGAACCAACCTGTGGCTGATAAGTTAAAAGACTGGATACAACATGAAGCTTATGCATTTAGACTCTGGGACAAGTTTGAAAGTGTTAAAGTCAAATTGTGGACCCAAGCTGAAGATGATACTTTGAGACCCTGGAATCAGAAAGACATTGGTGTAATTGACCCCTGGGTACAAGGTAAAGCTACTGTATTAACACAGTGGATGCAGGGAGTGTCTCAAGAATTACATCCATGGACACAATCTGAAACTCACACAGTCCCACTGTGGACCCAGAATGAAACTCCAATAATTTCATATCTTGGACCAAGATGTTAGCAGATACACTCACAACATGGACAAAGGCTGAATTTCAAGGGTAAACATCCTGAAGACAGTCTGAAACTGATCCAATCATACTGTGAACTATTGCCAAATCTCCAACAGTAAATCTCTGGACACGCTCTGTATCGAATGAAGTCACATGTTGGAACCAAGAAGAATTTCCAGCCTTATTTCCCTTGACAGAGTCTTATGGCTAAGACAGTCACACCATGGATCCAGGATAGATTTCCAACAATGAATCCCTGGGAAAAACTACAGCTGAAACCGTCATACAATTGATCCTTGATGAAATGTCACCAATAAATCCAAGGACAAAATTGCAGCCTGAATATCTAGAAGGAAATACCCGACTCCCATCTGAATTTAATCCAGTCTCATTGTGGACCATGGCTTATTTGCCAGCAGTAAATTACTGGATACAGTTTGATACTGAAGCAATAACACTATGAATCCAGGTTGAGTCTTCAGCAAAACATTCCTGGAAACAGTTGGAAATGGATATAATCCCACTAGGGACACATGCTGAATCACTAGTGATGAATTCATGGATAAACTCTATCTGATATGATCATGTGTATCCAGGCTGAATCACTATTATTAAATCCTTGGACAGAGTCTGAAACTGATATAGTCACAACATGGATTCTTGTTGAAACTCTAGGAGTAAGTCCCTGGTTACCTGATATATTCCTACCATGTACCCATGCTGAACATCCACAGATATCTTGGACTCAACCATGGATTATCGCTGAAACTCCAGCAATGAATCCCTAGAGAAAGGCTACAGCTGATATGGTCCTATCAGGGGAATTTCAGCCAGATATCGGGTGAAATTCACCCCCAATATTTCACATACCTTCTTTTCTATTTTCCCTAAGTGTCGGCCACTCTGAGAAATAAAGAGACAGAGTACAAAAGAGAAATTTTAAAGCTGGGTGTCCGGGGGAGACATCACATTGGCAGGCTCCATGGTGCCCCCAGAGCCATAAAACCAGCAAGTTTTTATTAGTAATATTCAAACGGGTAGGGAGTGTGCGAATAGCATGTGGGTCACAGAGATCCTGTGCTTCACAAGGTATATAGAATATCACAAGGCAAATGGAGGCAGGGCAAGATCACAGGACCAGAGGACCAGGACAAAATTAAAATTGCTAATGAAGTTTCAGGCACACATTGTCATTGATAACATCTTATCAGGAGACAGGGTTTGAGAGCAGACAACCGGTCTGACCAAAATTTATTAGGCAGGAATTTCCTCTTCCTAATAAGCCTGGGAGCACTACAGGAGACTGGGGCTTATTTCATCCCTACAGCTTTGACCATAAAAGACGGCCACCCCCCGAAGTGGCCATTTTAGAGGCCTACCCTCAGGGACACATTCTCTTTCTCAGGGATGTTCCTTGCTGAGAAAAAGAATTCAGCGATATTTCTCCCATTTGCTTTTGAAAGAAGAGAAATATGGTACTGTTCTGCCCAGCTGACCGGCAGTCAGAGTTTATCTCTCTTGTTCCCTGAACATTGCTGTTATCCTGTTCTTTTTTCAAGGTACCCAGATTTCATATTGTTCAAACACACATGCTCTACAAATAATTTGTGCAGTTAACGCAAACATCACAGGGTTCTGAGGTGACAAACATACTCCGCAGCTTACAAAGATGACAGGATTAAGAGATTAAAGTAAAGACAGGCATAGGAAATCACAAGGGTATTGATTGGGGAAGTGATAAGTGTCCATGAAATCTTCACAATTTATGTTCAGAGACTGCAGTAAAGACAGGCGTACATCAGAGAAATGCAAATCAAAACCACAATGAGATACCATCTCACACCAGTTAGAATGGCAATCATTAAAAAGTCAGGAAACAACAGGTGCTGGAGAGGATGTGGAGAAATAGGAACACTTTTACACTGTTGGTGGGACTGTAAACTAGTTCAACCATTGTGGAAGTCAGTGTGGCAACTCCTCAGGGATCTAGAACTGGAAATACCATTTGACCCAGCCATCCCATTACTGGGTATATACCCAAAGGACTATAAATCATGCTGCTATGAAGACACATGCACCCATATGTTTATTGCGGCATTATTCACAATAGCAAAGACTTGGAACCAACCCAAATGTCCAACAATGATAGACTGGATTAAGAAAATGTGGCACATATACACCATGGAATACTATGCAGCCATAAAAAATGATGAGTTCATGTCCTTTGTAGAGACATGGGTGAAATTGGAAATCATCATTCTCAGTAAACTATCGCAAGAACAAAAAACCAAACACTGCTTATTCTCACTCATAGGTGGGAACTGAACAATGAGATCACATGGACACAGGAAGGGGAATATCACACTCTGGGGACTGTTTTGGGGTGGTGGGAGGGGGGAGGGATAGCATCAGGAGATATACCTAATGCTAGATGATGAGTTAGTGGGTGCAGCGCACCAGCATGGCGCATGTATACATATGTAACTAACCTGCACAATGTGCACATGTACCCTAAAACTTAAAATAAAAAAAAATTAATTAAAAAAAAATAATAATTATATGTATTTATGATTAATATGCTTTCTTTCACCTGACATTTGGTCAATTTTGTTAATTTCTTTATTAAAAAGTTTAAAAATAAAAAAAAGACAGGCGTAAGAAATTATAAAAGTATTAATTTGGGGAACTAATAAATGTCCATGAAATCTTCACAATTTATGTTCTTCTGCCGTGGCTTCAGCTGGTCCCTCCATTCAGGGTTCCTGACTTCCGCAACAGTCCTACCAAGGAATCAGGCTGAATTTATAGAAGGAAATGCATGGACACAGTCTGAAACGTATACAGTCAAAGAGTTGATCCTGAATGATTCTCTAGCAGTAAATTCACAGACATAGACAATAGCTGATGCAGACAAGCTGTGGACCAAGCCTGAATTTCCAGCCATAAATCTCTGTACAAAGTTTCTAGGTGATAGTACATACCATGGATTCAGGATGCCTCTCCAGCAATGAATCCATTTACACAGTATCTATCTTATACAATCAAACCATGGGACCAAGATGAGTCTTCAGCAGTAAAACTCTGTACACTACCTGAATTTGATAACATTATCCTGTGGATACAAGCCAAGTCTCCAACAGTAAATCTGTGCATAGAGGATGTTACTTCCACAGTCATACCATGGGCCCAGGCTGTATCTCCAGCAGAAATTCCATGGACACAGCCTATACCTTCGATAGTCATAGCTTGGACCCACGTTGAATATCTATCAGTGAATACCTGGACAACCTCCATAGCTGATAGTATCACACTATAGAAAGGGGCTGAATTAACAGCAGGATTTCCATGAATACTGCCTTGGGCTGCTACTATCACACTGACGGCACAGTCTGAATTTCCAGCAGGAAATCTTTGGACACAGCCTGTGTATGATACAGACACATTATGGCCTCAGGCTGAACCTCCAGTAGTAGGGTACTGGACAGAACCTGTAGCTGATACATTTCGTGGACTCAGTTTGAATTTTTAACACGAAAGCCTTGGATCAAATCTGTATCTGATACACTCATACCATGGACCCAGGCTGAGTCTTCAGCAGTAAAGCATTTGACAAGGGCAATAGGTTATACAATCAAACTATGGAACCAAGTCAAATCACCTGCCATACATCTCTGGAAACAATATGAAACTGATATCCTCACACAGTGGACCAAGACTAAATGTCCAAAAGTAAATGCCTGGACACAGCCTATACCTGCTACAGTTAGTTATACCACAGAACCAAGCAGGTAAGAGTAGCAGTAAATCCCTCCACAGAGCTTGAAGCAGAAATTGTCTTACTGTGGACTCAGGCTGATTCTACAATCAATAATCTCTGTACACAAACTCTACTGATAGATTGAAACCATTGGCTAAGAATGTTTATGTAGCAGTAAATCCATGGAGCCAGTCTAAAACTGAGAAAGTTACATCATGGACCCAGGATATGTTGCCAGCAATAAGTCACTTAACAGTGGCTGTGACTGGTATAGTCACACTGCAGTACATGGCTGTATTTCTAATAATAATTCCCAGGGCAGAGGCTCTAGCTGATACAGTCATAACATGGACACAGACAAAATCTTCAGCAATCAATTTCTGGTTACAACCTGTACCTGATACAGTCACACTATGGACCTAAACAAAACATCTAAGTAATCACTTGGAATGAGGCTGAATTTCCAGCTGTAAATCCCATGATGAAGTCTAAGTCTCCAATTGTAAACATCTGGACAGTGTCTGAATCTCCAGCCCCAGGTCCTCTGTTGCAGGATGAGACTATTGATACAGTCACACCATGGACCCAGACTGAATCTTTGGCAGTAAATGCCTTGACAAATCCTGTTGCTGATACACTCACACTGTGTACACAGCCTGTAACTCCATCATTAATCTTCTTTTCACAAAGTTTACATGCTACACTGAAAACAGGGCATCAAACTGAATGTCTACCCATAAATACCTGGACAGAAGCTATAGCTTCCTAAGTTACACTCTGGACCAAGGCTGATTTTCCAGCAATAAATACCTGGACACAGCCTGTTTTTTATAAAGCTACAATTTGGGCACAGGCTGTATGTGCAACAGTAAAGGCCTGGACACAACCTTCACCTAATACAACCAGATGATGGTCCCAATCTGAATCTGCAGCACTAATTATGTGGATACTGCCTGTATCTGACACACACATAGGATTGATCCAATTTGAATCTTCAGCAGTAAATCCCTGATTACTGCCTATATTTAATAAATTATCATTGTGGACCCAGCCTGTATCTCTAGCAGTCAATCGTGGATAGAGTCAATAGTTTCCAAGTCACCCCATGGACCAAAGCTTTACTTCTAGCAACAAGTCCCTGGCCACCTCCCATATCTGATATAGTTGCACTGTGGACCCAGGCTGAATCTTCTGCAGTCATTACCTCCACACAGCCAGTATCTGACAAAATTATACTGTGGCTGCAGGCCCAGTATCCAGTAGGAATTACCTGGACACAGACTGTATCTGATATACTTACATCGTGGACATATGATGAATCTTCAGCAGAAAATCCAGGGGCATGGGCCATAGTTTCCTCAGTGTTACCATGGACCCAGGATATCCCTTCAGCAGAAAAAGCCTGGACACTAACTGTGTCTGAATCAATCATGCCATGATCCCAGTCTGAGTCTCCAGTGGTAAACACATGGACAGAGACCGCAGCTTCCACAGACACAAAGTGGACCTATGATGATTTTCCCGCTGCAAATTCTTGTACACAGAGTGATATGGGCTCATTTTGGACAATGCTTAAAACTGAAGCTAAGAAACTCTGGGCAATGCCTGAAGCTAAATTATTTATAGAATTTCATTACTGTCTCAACCTGATACCACACAACCTTTGATCCAAGATGAAAATCAAGCATCAATTTTACGGACACATCATGAAATTGAAAATATCGATGAATGGACCTTGCCTAAATTTGGAACACTTATATCTTGGATAGTGCCTATGCCTCAGGCAGCAAAACCATGGTCCAAACTTGAAGCTCTAGTTACAGAACTTTGTTTAAAACTGGAACAGAAAAAATAAAACCTTGGGCTCAGCCAGAATTTCAAACATTAAGCACATTTACTCCCTTTGAACTTGGTAAAATAGAATCCTGGGCCAAACAGAGAACTACAACATTTATAACATGGATCCAATGTGAAACTGATGCCTCCTTCCTGTGTACCCAATCTGAAGTAGGTACAATGAGACCCCAGATCATTTCTGAAGCTGCTACAGTAAAACTATGGATCTGGACTGAAACAGGCACAATCCACCCCTGGACTCAAGGTAAAACTAATACGATCCTTGTCTGATACACTACTGTATCAGGCTGAAATGCAGGCAGTGAAATGCTTGACCATGCCTGACATTAATACTCTGAGTGCTGGGTTTCAGACCCAAAACAGTGTAAGAAGAAATGGTACTCAACTTTATTCTCACAGAGTTACTACCCGGATGAAGCCAGAATGGCAAATAATCCAACCATTGAACCAATCTGAAAAGAATGCAGTCAGACCCTGGACCCAGTCTGAAGGTGATGTTCTGCAACCTTGGATCTATGCTGAAACCAATACAGTCAGACTCTGGGCCCATTCTGAAACTGATAAAATAAAACAATGGACTGAGCCTGAATCTCAAGCAATTAGGACCTGACCTGAGGCAGGTATGTTGACAAGTTGGTCCCCAGCTCAAAGCGCTGCAGTTTGGACCTGGACCAAATTTGAATCTCAAATGACACACTTCTGGACCCAGAATCAAATTAGCATAAATTACCCTTGGGCTCAGCATGTACCTGCTACAATCATACAATAGACTTATTCTGAAATTCATCCCTGGACCCACTCTGAAGCCAATACAGTGATAAGATACTGGTTCCAGATTCGAATTCAATAAGATCTTGGAACCAACCTGAAACTGAAGTATTCCAAATTTGGACTGTAAGTCAAGAAATGAAACCCTGCAACATGACTGAAATTGATACAGTCACATCTTGCTTATAGACTCAATGTGATACAGTTAGAACCTGGATTCATCCTGAAAGTTAGCTGCTCTCTCCCTGGCCCCAGACTGAAGTTGGTATATTTTGGCCCTAGACTCAGCAAAGAGTTGCTACATATCCAACCTGGACCCACCTGAAACCCAAGCAGTGAGATCCTGGATCAAGCAGGAAACTGATATAGTCAGATCTTCATTTTACATTCACATGAATAAAGGCAGATCATGGGCTTATTCAAAATCTCAAAGAGTCAGTCCCTGGATCCAGCTGGTAGTTGATATAATTCCATCTTTTATCCAGTCTGAATCCTTCCTACTAAGATTCTGGCCCAAGGTTCCATCTCCAGTAGTCAAAACATGGACCTTGCTTATGGGAAGAACACTCATATCTTGGATACTGCCTGTAACCTAAGCAGACAGACACTGGATCCAGTCTGAAGCTGATATTATTGAATCCTTTGGTGTTTTTAAAGCTGGCATAGTAAGAACCTGGATCCAGCCTGAAACAGAAATACTAAGACCCAGAACCCATTATAAGGCTGATATAAGTGCATAGTTTTCTCCTCCTGAAATTGAGTCTGAGAGACACTATTAATGAGTCATTTTGGCTGCTTGTCTAAACGTGCACTCTTTTTGCCTGTAAAAAACTGTTTCTTTCCCAGATCAGTATTTTATCTCTCTGTTAACTGAGATAACTGCCTCAGAAAGCCAATATGAAATCAATTATCTCCAACCAAGCCAGCTTACAAGCATTTGGCTTCCTGGAAGAGCTGTTTACCAGCACTAAAGCAGGAAATTAAAAATTATCCAAATAAAACAATGCCCTGATGTCCCAGGTACCTCTCTTATCTCTCTTTCTTCCTCCATTTTCCTTCCTCTTTCTTATTCTCTTCCATCTCCATGTACACTGTGCCCTTCTTGTTCCGTCTTTTCTTCTGGTACATTCCCTTCATTCTTCATTTTCCCATCTTGTTCAGTTATTTCTCCTCTTGTCTCCTCTCCTATTCTCCTTTCCATAGCCTCTTCTGCTAACGCCCTTCAGAAAATATTTTCCTCAACATTTCCTGAAGAGTCCATTCTTTCTCATTCTTTTTCATTCTTGCATGCTGCTGCAGCCACACTTTTAACAAAATAACCTCATCTGATGCCTGGACAATCTGGACCCAAGTCTGAACAACAACCTCTTAGGCATTCAGAACTCAAATGTTTCCCTGGTTGAGTGTCAACTAGCTGTGATCTGGAAAGAAAGTTTGCAGGCTTTCTGGCTCTTCAGAATAGTTGTTATTTCTCATGAAACCACAGGCACCTTTGGTCTAGTCATATGTTTAAGTTATTATACCTGGTACAAAGACTCTTGTTGAACCCTAAAACCACAGTTTGTAAGATCAGAGGTTATGTCCTCAAACCTTTGCAAAACCAAAATTTATGTTATTGTATGAATCAGCACAGACATCCCAATATTGAGAGAATATCTTATTTTTGCCAGACAGGATTTGTGGGCTATGTTTTATAAACACAATTCTATTCAGAGAACAGTATTTTAAAGATAGTCTTACTTCTTAGAAAGGATT
Source organism: Homo sapiens (assembly GCF_000001405.40). Classification (NCBI taxonomy): domain Eukaryota; kingdom Metazoa; phylum Chordata; class Mammalia; order Primates; family Hominidae; genus Homo; species Homo sapiens. Next base: position 6,513,190 of record NC_000024.10, read on the forward strand.
TATTATTCCACTTGAGGTATATAAATATATACACACATTATTGGATAATAGTATAATATCTTGGATATAAATAATAAGATATATATTTATATATACATTAAATTATTATTTGAAGGAAAAGCATGCAGATAACCTCTGTAGTATATCTAAACTTGTAGGATGAATAATGTATATTTCCAAGGATTTTCTCAGATTGAAGATACTGAATTTCCAAGCTTATTCCTAAAAACCTAAAATTAGATTTTAGAAATGGAAGAGTAGTAACACTAATCTCACTCTATTCCATATGTATATTCCTTCTGCAGAGTGTGGATTATGCCCTGGCAATGTCACCCTCTGTCCCAACTGCTGGGAGTCAGAAATTGGTGAATTCCCTTGGATAGTTGCTGTACCACTTTCTCTCATGTCTGTGCTGGCTCCATACTAAATGAACAGTGGTTCCTTACTACAGCTAGATGTGCCAATTTTATGTGAGTCTAAGTAATTCATCTTAAGATTAAGATATAATTATAAAACAATAACAACATTGAGATTATAAATGAATATATTTCCCTTTATTTGTGTGTGTGTATGTGTGTGTGTGTGTGTGTGTGTGTGTGTGTGAGAAAGACAGAGAGAAAGATAGATAGAGACAGGGTCTTGCTCTGTTGCCCAGGCTGGAGTTCTGTGGCATGATTCAGAGTAGCCTCAAACTACCAAGATTAAGGAATTCTCCTACCTCTGCCTCCTGAGTACCTGGGACCACAGGCACACACCAATGCATCTGGCTATTTTTTTCAGCAGAATTAAAGTCTTATCATGTTGCCCACCTGTTCTCAAATAATCCTTGAAAATAGTTTCTAGAGGAGTATTTGTATTTTAGTGCTTTCCTTTTCTGGCTCCAAGGAGTGACATGACCTAGCCATGGACCCTGGCAACACCAAGGGCCCATGACTACTTCTGCTTCCATGTCCCTTTCAGTCTACTTCTACAAATGCTTCAGCTTTTATCCCCACTCCCACTTCAATGTGGCCACATTTCATCTCTCTGCCACAGCCTCAGAGTAAGGCTCAAAAACCTGGTAGGACAAGTAAAGGAAGAAGAAAATGGAAATATAAAATAATAGAGAGAAGGAAATGGGAGCTAAAGCTCTTCCTGAGAAATGCATGAGTTTTTTATCTACCAAATCATAGAAATTATTTTCTTTTTGGCTTACAAAGGCATCTCATACTTGATATATGATACAATTCCCAGAGTATCCCCATAGATTACTCTGATATAGAACATATAACATGATTATTATACTTATCTTAAATGTATATTCTGATACTACATAAATACAATGGACTGATCAAATTCCCATGGCAAAAGATGAACTGGGTTATCATTAAGACACACTCTCCTAATACAAAGACATTTCTTTACTACCACACAGAAGCTTACATTTGTAATAGAGTTATTTTAAATTAAGTATATTTTAAGTTAAAGATATGATATTTGGAAACAGCATAGTTGGTAAGTAATGAGATGTAGGTGACGGTGTACCAGACTGCATTACATTGGGATTATCAGTTTCTCCCTTCCCCTGGCTGCTAGAAAACCTACCAGAATATTAGCAATGGCTATTTCACATTACTGTCTATCCTCTTATTTTCTTGGAAATTGAGACATCTCTTTCGGTCTCATCAATTAAACATGCTCTTAACCACAGCTATTTTATACTTAACACCCATTGCCATAGCTACGGTGAATAATACATTTAAAACATAAAGGAGGCCATAATTATTTGCTCACATCCGCCAAAGTCTAATTCAGAGACAATTACATATAAGATCTTAGTTATGCTTCCAATTTCATCTCTAGTTGCTTACCCCTTCTATAGACAGATTATCTTCACCATTTTTCTCTCCCTATTTATATATTGATGAGTATATCTTCCACTCAATTTTCTGAGGAACTCTCAAATGATTTTAAAAATATGAGCTCTTTCCTGAAACTCAGACTTGAATTTTCTATTTAAAATATTGGTTTGGTATCTTACTAACATTATAAGTTTATGAAGATAAGCCCTCTCCAATTTAGAGACAGGTGCTTTATCTCCAAATTTTTCATTATTTATCTAATATCTTCAAATCATTGCATTTTTTGTTGCCTATCTACTTCAGTGACTTCTAAGTAGCTAAAATCATAGATATATAAATGTTGCAATGGGGGAGAAAGCTGGAATGACTCCCAGTATTTTGATTAAATAAACTTAAGCTAGGACTTAAAGAAACTATGATCTTGGAAAGACAATAAGAGGCATACTTATTTTCAAGAAAAATTCATGAACACAGAAGAAGCAGAAGTTTGTCTTTGTTAGTCATATTTAACAATACTGACTCAAATAGCAGAAATAGGAGGATTTAAAACTTTAAAAAATGGTCTACAAATGGCAATTCTATTTAAATTAGCACAGTTAGCTTATTATTCCTCCTCAGCTTCAGCAGATCAGATTTCTCTTGAATACGCCATGCCTTGGAAGGCTGGGATCAACAGCTTTGGCAGTCATGTCTGCCATAGTTAGCAGCTCTTGGGTTCTCACAGCTGCCCACTATGTTAGCAACGTGTAAGATTGTGCCTGCCTCTTCTCAACTGTATAACTCATTATCCCATAATTACATTGCTGATGGTGTCTATGTCCAAATTCACTTCTATAATGCATGACCATCTCACTTATACAGATAACTTTTTTTAGGCTAAAAAGAAATTGTCTCACTGTGTTTGGCTTATAGTACCTCTGTTAGTTAATTCCTCTGCAATCCCATTGTCTATGGACTCTTTATTCATAGATTTCTGATTTCTCCGAAGATGAGCTAGGGACCTTGTGTATCATGACTAAAGCAATATACTGGAAAGCCTGATGTAGACTTAAGGTTGAGGTTTTCTTTTTTTTTAACTTTTTAAATTATACCTTAAGTTCTAGGGTACATGTGCACAATATGCAGGTTTGTTATATATGTAAACATGTGCCATGTTGGTGTGCTGCACCCATTAACTCATCATTTACTTTGGTATATCTCCTAACGCTATCCCTCCCCACTCCCCCCACCCCATGACAGGCCCTGGTGTGTGATGTTCCCCTTCTTGTGTCTAAGTGTTCTCATTGTTCAGTTCCTACCTATGAGTGAGAACATGTGGTGTTTGTTCTTTTTTCCTTGGGATAGTTTGCTGAGAATGATGGTTTCCAGCTTCATCCGTATCCCCACAAAGGACATGAACTCATCCTTTTTTATGGCTGCATAGTATTCCATGGTGTATATATGCCACATTGTCTTAATCCAGTCTATCTTTGATGGACATTTGGGTTCATTCCAAGTTTTTGCTGTTGTGACTAGTGCCACAATGAACATATGTGTGTATATTTCTTTATAGCAGCAAGATTTATAATCTTTCATGTATAATCCCAGTAATGGGATGGCTGGGTCAAATGGTATTTCTAGTTCTAGATCCTGGAGGAATGAACAGACACTTCTCAAAAGAAGACATTTATGCAGCCAACAGACACAGGAAAAAATGTTCATCATCACTGGCCATCAGAAAAATGCAAATCACAACCACAATGAGATACCATCTCACACCACTTAGAATGGCAATCATTTAAAAGTCAGGAAACAACAGATGCTGGAGAGGATGTGGAGAAATAGGAACGCCTTTACACACTGGTGGGACAGTAAACTAGTTCAACCATTGCGGAAGTTTCAGGTTTTCTAAAGAATGTACTATAATAAATATTTGCCTATGCATACAGGAATCCTGAAGACACTGCTGTGATTCTGGGCCTGAGGCACCCTGGGGCACCAATGAGAGTTGTGAAGGTGTCTACCATTCTACTGCATGAGAGATGCCAGTTGGTGAATGGGGCAGCAAGGAATGACCTGGCATTGCTACTCCTCCAAGATGTCCAGACTCCCATTTGGCTCTCAGCACCCTTGGGCTATCTGAAGAACCTGAATAGTTCAGAATGCTGGCTGTCTGTGCCACAGATTATTATACCAGGTCAGCAGTGAGTTTTCTTATTAGGGTAGCAGTTCTACAAAATGAGGTTCATATTTTTAATATTATGGTTCAAGGAAGAAGTATGATCACAATTGTATAAATTACTAATTATAAGATATTTAATGCACATAAAAAACCCAATAGGAAATTTGTTTTCATGTTATAAGTTGATGGTTCTGATGATAACTTCATAGGATTTTAGATCTGAAAACAATTATATGAGCATCTTTCTCTGTACAGTCAATTTTGTAAACTAAAGTAGAGATGATTTGCTTTCCAACTCTTTGCTGACTAAAAAAAAGGAAAAAGAAGTTTTTGTTTTGTTTTGTTTGTTTTTCTCTCTTTATGAAAAAGAAGCTGAACTTGACTTGGAATTTGGAATTCCGTAAGTAAAAATTTACTTATTACTTTTGAAGGGTGGCATTTAAAAAGTGATTAAAGAGTGACAATGCTGTCCACAGTGTCTCACTCCTGTAATTCCAGCACTTTGGGAGCTTGATCTAGGAGAACCCTTTGGGCCCAGGAATGTGATACCCATTTGGGCAATGTAGCAAGACTTCATCACTAAACAACAACAACAAATAGCCTGTTGTGGTGTTGCACACATGTAGTCCCAGCTACATGGGAGGCTGAGACAGGAAGATAGCTTGAGACCTGGAGGTTGAGGCTGCAGTGTGTGAAGATGGTGGCAATGCACTCCAACTTTACGTGGGTGACCACGCAAGAACTTGTCTCAAAAAAAGGGGGCGCTACTGTGGTGGTTCATGCCTGTAATTCCAGTATTTTGGGAGGATGAGGCCAGTGAATCACCTGAAGTCAGGAGTTTGAGACCAGTCTGACCAACATGGGGAAAACCCATCTCTACTAAAAATATGAAATTAGCTAGGAGTGGTGGTGTGTTCCTGTAATCCCAGTTACCCAGGAGGCTGAGTCAGGAGAATTGCTTGAACCCAAGAGGCAGAGGTTGCAGTGAGATCAGGCCACTGCACTCGAGACTGAGTGACAGAGTGAAACACCATCCCCAACCCCCAAAAAAATCAAGGACTAGAAAGCGAATGAAATACATAAACATGTCTTGTAAAATGGTAATGGTGACAAAATAAACTGAATTTATTTGTATAGGTTATATGTACAAGTTTAAAGTAATGATGACACAGTGATAAGACAGTTCATGGTTTTATCTCAATACTTAGTGTTTAAATGTAACATATGTTCCTTAGGATGGTTATACTCCATTTTTCTTCCTAGGAGAGAATGATGAGTTTCTAGAAATGTTAAAGGTGCAAGTGATGGAAGCTTCCAGCTGTGCCCACCTGTACCCTGACATAGGCAGTTCCATTGTTTGCTTCATTACTCAGGCCAAAGACTCAAATGCAAATGTGGTACAGAGTCAAATGTTTTTTCTATCTACATAATAGAAAATATAACTTTGTCCCTGTGTAAAAGGGTATACAGCATATGCTTAAATGAAAAATTTAAGTGAATCATTGATCAACAGGAAACCATTTTAAAAGTCTTTAATTACAGAAAAAAAATCTCTGAAAAAAATTTGTTGTTAATCTCTGAGTTTTCTTACATGGGTTGTTAATCTCTAGCCATACTAAATAGCTAGCATGCTGCACTTGAAACAAATTAGACATTATATATAATTCCCATATTCTAATAATAGTATCTTCACACCTCAAAGTTGAAAACAGTCTAACCTTTTCCTATTTCCCCAATTAAATAACTTTTTAAGGCTTAATCCTCTGATTTTTTTGTAGTAATATTTTTGAATGTATTTGATCAGGATGATTTTCTTGTGTACTTATCTGATGTCTCACTTTCTTCTAAATACATATTTTATTATCCATTTATTAGATCTAAGTTTAAGATGTTGGAACAGGAATTTAAATCCAAATTCTGCATTTGAATTTACAGGAATCAGTGAGTCCAGGAAGTGCCATTATGTGCAGACCAATATCTGGCAATGGCAGTTGGAGACATATAGGCTTCAATAGTCTCAAAGCCCTAGCTACTACAGTGAGTTCACACTTCTCCTGGATCTTATCTACTTCAGCAAAAGAAGGCCACCCACTAAACCAGGCCCTTATGCCTTGAGCGCAAACTCCTAAGTCCTCTAGTCTCCTTAAACAGCCAACCACACTGCCACTTTCTTCAATAATAATTACTGCAGCCCTGAGACTTTGGTAGCCTAGTGACTATAACTAGTGATGCTACAGTCTGCTCACAGTATGATAAAACACCAGAACAACAAAAACAAAATATTGACTTAAGCCTCCTAAAATATCTCTAAATATACCTTCAATAAATATGCTTTTTCTACATAACAACTGCTTTCTACTTACTTCCTGAACTAATGCTTGGCCTTGGATTGTTTTCATTCTTCAGATTGATTCAGAAGTGTCTATTTAACATGAAAGTGAATACAGAATTTCATGTGTCAGCAAATAAAAATTTCAAAATGATGCAAAATACAAATGTGAAATTGAATTTGTGAACTTTACTATGCTTTCAAATTATGTATTCATACCTACCCACTCACACAATTTTTTATAACTATCTGCATGTTCTCCTCAGGTGGGAGAAAAACAGCATCAGAATTCTTGAATAATTTATGAAAGACAGAATGACGACACTATACAAGGTTTAACCTATTCACAATACTGTAGTGAATGAAAACATTACATTTAAAATCCTACCAAGTGTTGAGTAAGTAAATAAAATATGTGATTTCAATCACTCTAAAATATGTGTACATGAAGAAAATAGAACAATGATTAAAACCTCAGCATAACCAGGCGACTTTTCTCCCACGCGCCGGCCTGGACCCACTTTCCCCAGGCCACTCCCGCTGCCCTCGCCCCAGCAGCCAGAGAATTCTCCGGATCTGCAATATTCCGTACCATCTACCTGGCTTGCGTAATGAAGTGAGACGTTTCATGTGTTCCTTGTGGGTCAATGGCTTGCCACACTCAGGATGTCAGTTAGGGCACAGGGCTCACATGCCAACATTTCCAAAGGTCACGCAGCCCGCGTGTGCCTGGATGCAGCGCTACCTGGCACTAGCTCTGAGGGCTTCTCAGAGTAGGCTTACCCCGGGAGGCTGGGACTGCAGGCCAGCCTTGGTTGGTGCCGCCCAGGGAGATGCGCACCGCCTCGCACTGATTGGCCGCAGGGGGAGGCTGGCGGTCTTGGCGCGGCTCCAGGTGCCCTTTGAGTGCAGTCCGTTAGGTGGCGCCTGGAAGCCAGGTGCATGCGCCCTGAGGCCCGCCCACCCACAGGCTACAGAAAGGGCAGCGCAGGGTTCCTGTGCTATGGGTCGGGCTGCACAGGCGGTGGTCTATGGGAGTCCGGAGAAGGACACCGTCTTCAGGGTGCACCGTCTTCACTCTGCCCGAGGCGCAGAGGGAGGAGGCAACCTTGAAGCAGGAGACAGTGCTGGTGTTGGATGACATAATGGCGGAGGTGGGGGTGATGGCCGAGGAGGAGGCCCTCGTGGAGCGGCAGAAGGACCAGCGGGCACAGCCTGGCCCTGGGCCCATGACCCCAGAGTCTGCACTGGAGGAGCTGCTGGCCGTTCGGGTGGGGCTGGAGCTGGTTAATGCCCAAGCCAGGAAGGCCTTTTCTCGGCAGCGGGAAAAGATGGAGCGGAGGTGCAAGCCCCACCTGGACCGCAGAGGGGCCATCATCCAGAGCATCCCTGGCTTCTGGGCCAATGTTGTATCCTTTTCAGTGTTTCTTCTGCCTTTCTAGTTGAGAGGTGCTCTTGGGGAAGTGTAAGTAACTTACGGGCAGCTCGGCATCTATCAATTTCTGAGAAACTTATACAAGTCTCAGCTAAACAGCTGGCACTGGACCACTGCCCTTTCAGCTGCCTGTTGCTGACTTCTTTCGTTAGATAATATCCCCCAGGCAGCAACTGCTTGTGTCACCCTGCCTCCACTTGATATCCTAAAGACCAATATCTACTGTTTAAAACACTTTAAGTCTTAGATATAGCATAAAGGGTTTATGGGATACAAAACAACAGTCGGACACAAGAGATTGAGTCATTCTTTTTTAAACTTTTGTTTGTAAGTATTTTGTAGTTTATCTTATCGGAAGTGAGAGACCAAGAGAGTAAAAACACTGCTTCCTTTTCATCCACCCTAATGCATCTCAAACTTATGTCTCATCACTTGCTTTGTATGAGATGTCTGTATATGAACTCCCATAAAATGTTGCATAATTTATACAAGCAAATGGTCCCATGAAACAATATTAATTTTTAAAGATAAATCCACATTCAAAAGTAAAGATTTTCAAAACCAGAAATAATTTACAGAAATGCTAAAAAATGTGGCATAATTATCATAATGTGGAAATGGAAATTCAGACAAACTTTCACATTGTTACTGAGAGTACTTTTCCTTGAAGACCTACAGTTCTGGCTATCTGCATTCCAGGAATATTTTTCTTATTTTTTTATCATCTCATAACCAAATGGCCAACTAGGTTAGATTTTCCATGTTACAGTGTTTGACTGAAGAGTCAATAACCCTTGCAACAGAGAACATCCTTAGAAATTAGTTGACCAAAGTCTCAAGTTTCCCAAGGCCAGTCCTTAGGGTTCAATCTCAGACTGTAATAGTGTTTTCTGCAGAACAGTGTCTTTAAGTAGGCAGTTATTTTCACATTTATAATCTGTTGGTGGAAACTCTGGTCCTAAAGTAAGAGCAGAAGATGCATCTCTCCTTTCATGACAAGTTTGACACTCAGGAGATGATAAACTTATAGGAAAAAAATTATTTTCTCCATTTTTCTTTGGCCATTTATTCCCAGAAGAAATTAGAATAAATATATGAATGATATTTAAAAACATTTTGGAAAAAATTAAAGAATATATTAAGAAACAAAACTTTTGCCAGTATCAGTCTTCGACAAAAAAGTTAACCATTTTAACTATAAAGTATAAATGTATTTACAAATAAAGTGATGCATAGGGAAATGTTTCTTGCATTGTACACACTTTCTCCAGTGATGTCCTAGCCACTCCTTTAAAATGGGTCATTGATTGAATTACAACTATAACCTTAATGCAAATAGTACAGTAGAAAGTTTTTTAAAACAGAACACATGTACACAATAGTTGGTCTTCCAGTTGCACAGTTTCTTTTGTATGCATGTGTGTATGTCTATGTAATTTTATATACTTATAGAGATTAGATTTTGGGCAAGCAATTTAGAAGTAACCAGATTTTCTTTGTAATAAGAAGGAAAATGTTTAAATTGAAATTTTAGTTGAACAGTAAAACTGTATAAGAATTTACACTGCTCAGGGAAAAGATGTATTGTGTTTTGCAGACTGAAAGAGTTCTTTCCTGAGTAACCCAGTGTTGGTATTCACTGCAGAAATAGATTTGTTTTGGTAGACCCCTGTAGCCAGCTACCTGCAGAGAAGGAAATCCTGCTGAACAGAATTATAAATAGAATAGTTAAATATTCTTTCATTTCAGTGAAGCGTTCACATACGATATTCTCTTTTATTCATTTATAAACATTTATATTTAATACATTTTCCAAAAAATAAAGTAATTATAAAAATTAACAAGAGATTTGTATATTCCTTATTTAAAATTTTTAGCCTATTCAAATATAAGAAGTCCACTCTGAAATACCTGAAGATGATATATGAAATGAATAAGAAAAGAAAATACAGCAGAATGTACCAGATGTTTTTTGTGTGTTGGATGTACATATATCTGTTAGCTTTTAGTGGCAGACAGAGTGCAGTCTACATAATTTTATTCATAATAGATGCCTATGCATCATACATTCACACATAAATATTATTTCTCTGAAGATTGAAATAGAAAGCTAGGAGAATACAACATGACACATATGCTGAATTACATATAAGCAAGTGTGAATTATGTAGTTAAATGATCTCTTCACCAGTCTTCTTCTCACTCTCTCACTGGGTAGTCTAAGGATTAATTAAAGTTCCTCGGCTCTTTCAAGCTAAGAAACAGTATGTAAGTGCTATGCATTATCATGGTAACACAAGAGGGAGGTATAAGTGATTTATAACTTCACAGGCTCTGTGAAATGTGTCTAGCCTGATAGGTTTTTCTAACAGTGTTTTATGGATTGGAAAGTGCTTATCAGATTTGAAGATGGAATTTGCTCTATTAAAATCATGCTAATCTGCAAAACCAATCTTTGTTCTATATGTATGTAGAGTGATGTTTCTCAAAATAGAAGAAAACTTGGGATATGATTTCGGAGGTAATATAATAAGGTAGAATGGTGACATGAATTATAACTTATCTATTATTGTTTGACTCAGCTGATGCTCTCTTAATTAGGGCAACTGAAGTCTAATTAATTTGCATAAGGTAGCCATCCCATTTTTATACTTTTAAAGACAGTCAGGAGATATCACCGTTTCCACAAAGCTTATATAGATTTTATTAGCATGTTTCAATTACGTATCACTGCAATAATGTCAATTCTGTAATGTAACATATTATTTCCTTTAGTAGTATATTTATTTTATTTGTATTTCATTTTTAGTATAGATTCAGAGAGTACATGTGCAGGCTTGTTACAAAGGCATATTGTGTGATGCTGATGTTTAGTCTTCTGTTGATCCCATCACCCAGATACCGAACTTTGTACCCAATAGGAAGATTTTCAGCCCCTGCCTCTCTCCCTCTGTCCCACTTTGGAGTCCCACTGTATAATGTTCCTGTCTTTATTTCTGTGTGCACCTAAGTTTAAGCTCTTTTTCATAATTGAGAATATTCAATATTTGTTTTTCTGTTTCCTCATTAATTTGCTTAGGTTAATAACACAGCTAAGTCCGTGTTGCTGTAAAGGAGATGATTTTGTTCTTTTTATGGCTGTGTGCTAGTACAGGGTTCATATGTACCACATTTTCTTTATCCCATCCACCATGGATGGGCTCCTAGGTTAACCTCGTGTCTTCGCTATGGTGATGAATATGAGATTTCCTGTGTCTTTTTGGTAGCTTTAATGATTTATTTTCCTTTGAGCATATACTGAGTAATATGATTGCTGGGTGGAATGGTAGTTCTATTGTTAGTTCTTTTAGAAATCCCCAAACTGCTTTCCACAGTGACTGAACATTCTTACCACCAGTGTATAAGAGTTCCTTGTTCCCTGCAGCCTTGCCCACATACATCATTCTTATTATTTTCGCTTTTTAATAATAATAGTCATTCTGACTTGGTATGAGATGGTATCTTGTTGTGATTTTGATTTGGATTTCTCTGATGATCAGTGATGTTGAGCACTTTTCTTATGTTTCTTGGCCACTAGTATGTCTTAAGAAGATATTTTTAAAATTTTCTCTCATTATGTAGGTTGCCTTTTCACTCTGATAGTGGTTTCTTTTGCTGTGCAGAAGCTCTTTAGTTTAATTAGATCCCATTTGTCAATTTTGGCTTTTGTTGCCATTGCTTTTGGTGTTTTAGACATGAAGTCCTTGCCCATGCCTATGTCCTGAATGGTATTGCCTAGGTTTTCTTCTAGGGTTTTTATGGTTTTAGGTCTAACATGTAAGTCTTTAATCCATCTTGAATTAATTTTTGTATAAGGTGAAGGAAGGGATTCAGTTTCAGCTTTCTACATATGGCTAGCCAGTTTTCCCAGCACCATTTATTAAATAGGGAATCCTTTCCCCATTGCTTGTTTTTGTCAGGTTTGTCAAAGATCAGATAGTTGTAGATAAGTGGCATTATTTCTGAGGGATCTGTTCTGTTCCATTGGTCTATATCTCTGTTTTGATACCAGTACCATGCTGTTTTGGTTACTGTAGCCTTGTAGTATAGCTCGAAGTCAGGTAGCATGATGCCTCCAGCTTTGTTCTTTTGGCTTAGGATTGACTTGGCAATGCGGGCTCTTTTCTGGTTCCATATGAACTTTAAAGTAATTTTTTCCAATTCTGTGAAGAAAGTCATTGGTAGCTTGATGGGGATGGCATTGAATCTAAAAATGACCTTGGGCAGCATGGCCATTTTCACGATATTGATTCTTCCTACCCATGAGCATGGAATGTTCTTCCATTTGTTTGTATCCTGTTTTATTTCATTGAGCAGTGGTTTGTAGTTCTCCTTGAAGAGGTCCTTGACGTCCCTTGTAAATTGGATTCCTAGGTATTTTATTTTCTTTGAAGCAATTGTGAATGGGAGTTCACTCATGATTTGGCTCTCTGTTTGTCTGTTATTGGTGTATAAGAATGCTTGTGATTTTTGCACATTGATTTTGTATCCTGAGACTTTGCTGAAGTTGCTTATCAGCTTAAGGAGATTTTGGGCTGACATTATAGGGTTTTCTAGATATACAATCATGTCGTCTGCAAAAAGGGACAACTTGACTTCCTTTTTTCCTAATTGAATGCCCTTTATTTCATTCTCCTGCCTGATTGTCCTGGCCAGAACGTCCAACACTATGTTGAATAGGAGTGGTGAGAGAGGGCATCCCTGTCTTTTGCCAGTTTTCAAAGGGAATGCTTCCAGATTCTGTCCATTCAGTATGATATTGGCTGTGGGTTTATCATAGATAGCTCTTATTATTTTGAGATACGTCCCATCAATACCTAATTTATTGAGAGTTTTTAGCATGAAGGGTTGCTGAATTTTGTCAAAGGCCTTTTCTGCATCTATTGAGATAATCATGTGGTTTTTGTCTTTGGTTCTGTTTATATGCTGGATTATGTTTATTGATTTTCATATGTTGAACTAGTCTTGCGTCCCAGGGATGAAGCCCACTTGATCATGGTGGATAAGCTTTTTGATGTATTGCTGGATTCGGTTTGCCAGTATTTTACTGAGGATTTTTGCATCAATACTCATCAAGGATATTGGTCTAAAATTCTCTTTTTTTGCTGTGTCTCTGCCAGGCTTTGGTATCAGGATGATGCTGGCCTCATAAAATGAGTTAGAGATGATTCCCTCTTTTTCTATTGATGGAAATAGTTTCAGAAGGAATGGTACCAGCTCCTCCTTGTACCTCTGGGAGAAAATTTTTGCAACCTACTCATCTGACAAAGGGCTAATATCCAGAATCTACAATGAACTCAACATATTTACAAGAAAAAACATACAACCCCATCAAAAAGTGGGCAAATGATATGAACAGACATTTCTCAAAAGAAGACATTTATGCAGCCAAAAAACACATGAAAAAATGCTCATCATCACTGGCCATCAGAGAAATGCAAATCAAAACCACAATGAGATACCATCTCACACCAGTTAGAATGGCGATCATTGAAATGTCAGGAAACAACAGGTGCTGGAGAGGATGTGGAGAAATAGGAATACTTTTACACTGTTGGTAGGACTGTAAACTAGTTCAACCATTGTGGAAGTCGGTGTGGCAATTCCTCAGGGATCTAGAAATACCATTTGACCCACCAATCCCATTACTGGTTATATACCCAAAGGATTATAAATCATGCTGCTATAAAGACACATGCACACATATGTTTATTGCGGCACTATTCACAATAGCAAAGACTTGGAACCAACCCAAATGTCCAACAGTGATAGACTGGATTAAGAAAATGTGGCACATATACACCATGGAATACTATGCAGCCATAAAAAATGATGAGTTCATGTCCTTTGTAGGCACATGGATGAAGCTGGAAACCATCATTCTCAGCAAACTATTGCAAGGACAAAAAACCAAACACCACATGTTCTCACTCATAGGTGGGAATTGAACAATGAGAATGCATGGACATAGGAAGGAGAACGTCACACACCGGGGACTGTTGTGGGGTAGGGGGAGCGGGGAGGGATAGCATTAGGAGATATACCTAACGCTAAATGAGGAGTTAATGGGTGCAGCACACCAACATGGCACATGTATACATATGTAACAAACCTGCACGTTGTGCACTTGTATCCTAAAACTTGAAGTATAATAATAATAAAAAAGAAGATATTTTAAATAAATATACAAATGTTTCCTCTATTTATACGTGAAATTCTGCTTGTGTCCTTCTCTCTTCTACTACATGATTTTACATGGATAATGAGTCAAAAAATGTGAAGTGCTGGTAATATATTTTATCTCACACTTGTAAAATGTTTTTCTTTGAAAATACCACTTGTTCTAATTTTTAATTTTTTTAATTTCTTGGAAGTGACAGTTGAGACAAGGAAATTGTAAAGCAATTACTTCACAAGGTGATTGCAATGTAAATGGTATTATAAAATTATTTGGTTTTGAGGAAAATTTAAAAAGATACAGAAATACAAAATAATATAACAAATACCAATTTAACCCCACTTAAAAATAGCAGCTATTAATATATTCCTTTTTCTACTTACATTACCTCTGGTTGTAATTGGAATATTTGCCCTCAGGTTAGTTTCCTTTTTACCATTTCTTAGGCACCATTATCAGGAACTGGTATTATATTCATATTTTTTAAATTTATTAAAATATTTATTTCTGGATAATACTGGTGTTTTGTGAATTTTGAGTGTTTATGTCAATATTATAAGGTGTGTATTATTTCACATTTTTTTTCTGTTAAGATTCTTGTTGACAGCTGCCATTATTGATGGCATAGTTCGCAGTCTACTGAATTCTTATGTTCCATGATGGCTTTATTGAAATGCTACAATGAAAAACCTTCCCTATCCCTCCAGTTACACATATGTGAGAGTTTCTAATGAATATACTAGAAGAATGTCAGGACTGCAGTGTGTGTACAGTTTTAATTTTGAGGAGATAAAATATTCTCATTAGCTCCCTGGACTACCACTTTATTACTATTGTTGATCCATGCTAATCAGCTTAGCATATGTCTTAGATTTTTCATTTTTAGTGAAGTATTATTATAAGTTACATTAATTAGAACCAGCATGTGTGTGCTAAATGTTCATTTTGTTTAATAATTACAGCTTGTCAGGCCTCTATCAGTATGTGAGAAAAATAAAATGTTAACACAACGATGACTTTAGTGTGGGGATAATCTGAAAATCAACTTTAGTTTCCTGACACAGTTCACACAAAACATAGATCCTGCTACTTTTTAAGGACCGCATGTAGCAGACTGAGTGACAATAAATCAATATGCACTGAATCAATAGTAGCTAGGGATGAGTAGTTTCTTCCAATCTTGCCTGGTGATGGAAGAAGTATTTGACATGGTTTATTTTTTGTTTTGTTTTGTTTTCTTTCTATGTGGTCCACTTATATGACACTCCCAGATCATCGTGTGGTAGGTTTGGGGAAAATGAAGGAAATAATAGGCTAGATATACGTAAATTATGTGCTAGAAATAGAAGCTTAACACACAGAGCATAGTTAATTGGTCTGGCCACAGTGGTTTTGTCATCTCTCATATACCTACAACTATTTATGGGCTGCTTGCTAATGACTATTTTACAAAAATCTGTTTCAGCAGCAATGGTTGAAAAATGCAAGTAGGTATTTAATTAAAAACTACTCAATTTCCCTTTAAATCAAATTATGGGTTGAAAAGTGCCAATAAACAAATGATGTAATCATAAAGCCTTGTATTCCATGTTGGAACCACAAGGCTAAAAGTGATATCCTGAAATCCAGCATATAGAAAGCTGAGGGGAAAAAGCAGCTGCTATTTCAGAAGGTAATACTTAGTTACATTAAGAAAACTGTGCCTGAAGATGACATTTTCACAGGTTTAGTATGTGAATTCGGAAAAATTAAGCATATAATTCTGAGATGCAGGGCTTTTTATTTACATCAAATTACTATTTTTTAAAAAATCAATTGTGTATATATTTTAATTCTAATTTTTTTGCAGTTAAGAAATATGCATCAGTAATTGTTAGTATGTTAGCTCCATTAGCTACAGAAGAAATTCCAAAAGAATTCAATAATGCCATTTAGATGTTTCAAACAGAAAATTAAATTAAAAATGGTTTGAACATTTAGTCAATCATTGGAATTAAAATAAAGCTCTTGAAATTTTATTGTGTGAGAAATAAAACATTGAATGATGTGGCAAATGATTTTTAATGTTCAGTTACACTAAACATTGTTGATAACTTTTATTGGTAACAAGAAGCAACTTTGGAAAAGCTTGCAAGTAACTTTATTTAAAAAACCAGTATAAAATTGAAAGAAATGCATTTTCCAGAAAAGAACTATGGATAATTATTGATAAGAAACAGATTATTTCATATAAATATGTTCCGGGGTCATTATTCTGCCTACTATTTCTAATGTTTAAATAATAAATGTAAAGAAACTATTTTTCTGTTTTGCTTGAAGATATGTAATTGTGGTTTTAAATTTTTGAAGGAATTTCACTTTCAAAAATAGTTGGAAGATAACTATGTAATAGATCCATCGATATAGTAAAAACAATTTGCCTGTAAGGAAATAATATACTAAATAATAAATGGTTTTGTATATGTTAGGACTCTTTTATCCTAAAAAAAAGTTTCCTTTGGAACAATAAACGTTGTAGTCACCCTAATTTTACTAAATATCATTAGATAGTCCTGTGGATTGATGGAAAAAATTACACTTTTCTTACATTCTTGACTCCACTCAGTGTTATTATTTTAATAGTTGCCAAGCTAATGAAGGAAAGTTAGAACCTAATGTGGTTTTGATTTATATCCCTGGATTACTAATGAGCTCAAGCATCTAGTCATTTTTCATTGGTCATTTGACTTTCCTCTTTTCTACAAAAGATCTAACTACTTACCTGTACTGCTTTTTCCTTCTCCTGGGCTAGATTGTATATATTTTTTCTTGTATATTTGTAAGAGTTATTTTTATTATTTTGGATACTGGTATTTTTATTTATATTTTTCTTAGTGATTTTTCTGGAGTTTTATAAACACTCAAGATAGTTTTTAGAATTTATGATCTGAAGATTTTCAAAAGGCTAACTCAGAAGTCATTTGTGGCTATGATGCTAACTTCAAATGAAAAAATAATTTTGCCACTTTAGCAAAACATACTTTAAAGATACTAATTAGAAAGCACTGAAGTGCTTAATTATGTGTTTTTCATAAAACTCATCTAAATAGTCATTTCAATAAAATCATTTACCTTTATAGTAAGAACAAATTATTAAATGTTGATTACCTAGCTCCTGCATGGTTTTCTAAATATCTCACAATTGTCATTTGGTAATAATCTCTTAGCATACTTGTTAGAATTACTGGTTCTCCAGGTCTCATTTTAGATGATTGAACCAGGATTTTGAAGGAAAATAGCTAGAAGTATCTGGACATATATTTTATGACCCACATAATTATTTGGGGTTATTTGTGAAACTTTGGTCTCACACATAAGAGAAAGTAAAAAAATAACAAAACAAAACAAAAAAAACCCAAAAAACAAACAAACAAAAAACAATAAAACACACACACACACACACACACACACACACACACACACACACACACAAAAGAACATCAAGTCAGGAGTCAGGAATAAATACCTTATCCTTCCCTCACTCCAGGCTTCTCAAGTTGTATGCCCCTAAATGCATTTTCATTCTTGGCAAATACTACTCCAACTATCTAGCACTTCAGAGTGGTAATTAACCTGTTAGTTTGCAATTTAGCAAAAAATAAGAAACCTATTTCTTAACATTTTCTTTAGGATCATATTTCTAGCTATACCCTGTGTGTCAGTTAATGCTATGTATGGCTATAAAATAGCAGTATTTAACAAAAATATTTGACCACTGCAGCAAAATTACCTTCTGTAAATGATCCACTGCTACTAAGATTAACTGACAATTTGGAGATTGTACTGGCATTTTGAATTTCATACATTCAAGGAAGATTGGAAAGCATCTTCAGATGCCATTGTCTATAATGATAATAGTTAATAATCATATTAACTTCCAAATTTTTCTGTGTTAAAGCAGGTGTGCAGGTATTGGATGAACAGGTAGGCCACTACTGTGGTTAGAGTTGTAAAAGTTTTGGTGAAATTGCACATGACAACATCTCCACAGAAAATTTAGATTTTGGCACAGCTAGGAGAGGTGGAAGAAAATGACGTTTTTGTTGTTGTTGTTGTTTTTAATGATTCCCCATCTGGATCTTAAAGGGAGATAGCACAATATTGTGGAAAGAGGTATTTTTGTAATCTGAAATTAGACTTTAAGAGAAGTTAAGTATTTTGAGACCCAAATTTCAGACATATGAAGTGGGGTCTAAAATATCTAGTACCTGTATATGTAGTTATAAAGATCATGTAACGATGGATTCTATTTGCCTTGTACTTGTCTGTAAAACAAAGCCATCATTTAATTGTGTTACTTAACATAGCTTCATGTGGGCATTTTTAAGGAACATTTATCTCGTGATAAATAAAATAGTAATATTTGCAGAGAATGGTACTTTCTCCAACATTGATATTGCAGAACTCCAGCTGTTCTGTAGAGAAACTGACACGAATTGAAAAAAAAAAGGATGATTGAAGGTTGTTTAGGGGCCAGTCATTATTTACTGAGACTATATAATTCTCAGAGGGGACACACAACCTGTGAAGAGTTGGATGTGAATGATGAAGAGTCATTGAGAAAAGGCTGCCTGAAGAATCATCCTCTACATTTCTAGCTTGAAACACAGGGTATTTGGTGCTGTGAATTTCTGAAATAGTGGAATACTGTAGGAGGAAACATGTTTGGAGGATGAAATGAAGATCTGGCTTTGGTATGTGGAGATGTAAGGCATGCAGTTGGATATGCCAAGTCTGAAGGTCAGAACAAAGATCTGGCCTGAAACTGGGAATTTGTTAATGGTCAGCATAAAAAGGGTGTTTTAGCCTTGAGAAAACCCAAGAGGATCCATGACTGAGACCTGAACAATGTCACCACCTACAGATTTAGTAAAGATGTCAACAAAATACAGACCAAAGTTCATATTAAAATTAATGGGAACAGTCAAACTACTTAGTGAGCGGTATTCAGTCAACTAGCATTTAGCTAGCTATTGGCTAGCAAATTTGGGGGAAAAGTGTATAAAGAATCTTTGATTAGGTTTCCAAATATACGAAATAAAAGCCACTCACATGTTAGAAGTCAATATACAAAATTATATTATGTTAATGGTACTATTTAATGCTAATAGAGAAAAATGAAAATTATTCTGAATTAAATCAATAGACAATGTATTTTCTATCGTTGTCTTTGTTTTCTTCTCAATTTATTTGTGTGTCATTTTAACTCACTAAGCAATGACTCCTCTTAATCCCATTACTTTTTATTTAACACTGCATTTGTTTTTCATGTGCGCAATATCATACTGCCCAATAGAGAGGAAATGCAGAATTTAGACTATTATATCAGAAACATCTTTGCTTTTCAGATTTGGACTTCTGGAGTGTGGTTAATTTAAGTGTTCTCATCAGGCCTTGATATTTCAGATTTCCGTAATCACTTCTCCAAAATAAAGTCTGAAGGTGATGACTACAATAAAATTAAAATTATACTGGCTTTTAAGATAATTATGTTTATGTAAATGTGACGCCTTTTTTTGGGGGGTGGGGTGTCGTAAAATACCAATGTATATGTTATATTCGTAGGTGCCGTAAAATACCGACGTATATGTTATATTCGTCGGTGTCGTAAAATACCGACGTATCTGTTATAATCGTCGGTGTCGTAAAATACCGATGTATATGTTATATTCTTCCGTGTCGTAAAATACCGACGTATCTGTTATATTCGTCAGTGTCGTAAAATACCGACGTATATGTTATATTCGTCGGTGTCGTAAAATACCGACGTATCTGTTATAATCGTCGGTGTCGTAAAATACCGACGTATATGTTATAGTCTTCCGTGTCGTAAAATACCGACGTATTTGTTATAATCGTCGGTGTCGAAAAATACCGACGTATATGTTATATTCATCGGTGTCATAAAATAACGACGCATATGTTACATTCGTTGGTGTAGTAAAATAACGACGTACATGTTACTTTCGTCGTCGTGAAATACCCACGTATATCTTATATTAGTTGGTGTCGTGAAATACCGACGTATATATTATATTCGTAGGTGTTGTGAAATACCAACGTATATCTTATATTCGTAGGTGTCGTGAAATTCCATCGTATATGTTATATTCGTAGGTGTCGTAAAATACCGACGTATATGTTATATTCACTGGTGTCATAAAATAAGGACGTATATGTTACATTCGTCAGTGTCGTAAAATACCGACGTATATGTTACATTCGTCGTTGTCGTGAAATACCTACGTATATCTTATATTAGTTGGTGTCGTGAAATACCGACGTATATATTATATTCGTAGGTGTTGTAAAATAACGTCATCTATATTATATTTGTAGGTGTCGTAAAATACCGACGTATATAGTATAGGTGTCGTGAAATACCGACGTATTATATTCGTAGGTGTCGTGAAATTCCGTCGTATATGTTATATTCGTCGGTGTCATAAAACACCGACGTATATGTTATATTCGTCGGTGTCATAAAATACCGACATATATGTTATATTCGTCGGTGTCGTAAAATACCGACGTATATAGTATAGGTGTTGTGAAATACCGACGTATATATTATATTCGTAGGTGTCGTGAAATACCAACGTATATCTTATATTCGTAGGTGTCGCGAAATTCCGTCGTATATGTTATATTCGTCGGTGTCGTAAAATACCGACGTATATGTTATATTCATCGCTGTTATAAAATACCGACCTATATCTTAGATTTGACGGTGTCGTAAAATACCGAAGTATATCTTATATTCGACGGTGTCGTAAAATACCGACGTATATCTTATATTCACTGGTGTCGTAAAATACTGACGTGTATCTTACATTCGCAGGTGTCATAAAGTACAGGTGTATAACTTATAATTGCAGGTGTCGTAAAATACCGACGTAAATCTTATATTCGCTTGTGTCATAAAATACCGAAATATATGTTATATTCACAGGTGTCATAAAATACTGATGTATATGTTATATTCGTCGGTGTCGTAAAATACCAATGTATATGTTATATTCGTACGTGCCGTAAAATACCGACGTATATGTTATATTCTTCCGTGTCGTAAAATACCGACGTATTTGTTATAATCGTCGGTGTCGTAAAATACCGACGTATATGTTATATTCGTCGGGGTCATAAAATAACGACGCATATGTTACATTCGTTGGTGTCGTAAAATACCGACGTATATGTTACTTTCGTCGTTGTCGTGAAATACCGACGTATATCTTATGTTAGTCGGTGTCGTGAAATACCGACGTATATATTATATTCGTAGGTGTCGTAAAATAACGACATATATATTATATTTGTAGGTGTCGTAAAATACCGACGTATATAGTATAGGTGTCGTGAAATACCAACGTATATCTTATATTCGTAGGTGTTGTGAAATACCAACGTATATCTTATATTCGTAGGTGTCGTGAAATTCCATCGTATATGTTATATTCGTCGGTGTCATAAAATACCGACGTATATGTTATATTCGTCAGTGTCATAAAATAAGGACGTACATGTTGCATTCGTCAGTGTCGTAAAATACCGATGTATATGTTACATTCGTCGTTGTCGTGAAATACCTACGTATATCTTATATTAGTTGGTGTCGTGAAATACCGACGTATATATTATATTCGTAGGTGTCGTAAAATAACGTCATATATATTATATTTGTAGGTGTCGTAAAATACCGACGTATATAGTATAGGTGTCGTGAAATACCGATGTATATATTATATTCCTAGGTGTCGTAAAATAACGTCATATATATTATATTTGTACGTGTTGTAAAATACCGACGTATATAGTATAGGTGTCGTGAAATACCGACGTATGTATTATATTCGTAGGTGTCGTGAAATTCCGTCGTATATGTTATATTCGTCGGTGTCGTAAAATACCGACGTATATGTTATATTCGTCGGTGTCGTAAAATACTGACGTATATCTTAGATTCGTCGGTATCATAAAATAAGGACGTATATGTTACATTCGTCAGTGTCGTAAAATACCGACCTATATGTTACATTCGTCGTTGTTGTGAAATACCGACGTATAACTTATATTAGTTGGTGTCGTGAAATACCGACGTATATATTATATTCGTAGGTGTCGTAAAATAACGGCATATATATTATATTTGTAGGTGTCATAAAATACCGACGTATATAGTATAGGTGTGAAATACCGACGTATATATTATATTCGTAGGTGTCGTGAAATACCAACATATATCTTATATTCGTAGGTGTGAAATTCCGTCGTATAAGTTATATTCGTCGGTGTCGTAAAATACCGACGTATATGTTATATTCGTCGGTGTCATAAAATACCGACGTATATCTTAGATTCGTCAGTGTCGTAAAATACCGACGTATATGTTATATTCGTCACTGTCGTAAAATACCGACGTATATCTTAGATTCGAGGGTGTCGTAAAATACTGACGTATTTCTTATATTCGACGATGTCGTAAAATACCGACTATATATTATATTTATGGGTGTCATAAAATACCGACTATATATTATATTTGTAGGTGTCATAAAATACCGACTTATACATTATATTCATAGCTGTTGTAAAATACCGACGTATATATTATATTTATAGGTGTCATAAAATACCAACGTATATATTATATTTATGGGCATCGTAAAATACCGACGTATATATTATATTTATAGGTATCGTAAAATACCCACCTATATATTATATTTATAGGTATCGTAAAATACCGACATATATATTATATTTATAGGTATCGTAAAATACTGACGTATATATTATATTTATAGTTATCGTAAAAAATCGATGTATATATTATAGGTATCATAAAATACCGACACATATATTATATTTATAGGTATCGTAAAATACTGACGTATACAGTATATTTATCGGTATTGTAAAATACCGATGTATATATTATGTTTATAGGTATCGTAAAATAGCGATGTATATATTATAGATATCGTAAAGTACTGACGTATATATTATATTTATAGGTATCATAAAATACCAACGTATATATTTATAGATATCGCAAAATACCGACGTACATATTATAGGTATCGTAAAATACCGACATATATTTTATATTTATAGGTATCGTAAAATACCGAAATATATATTATATTTATAGGTATCGTAAAATACCGATGTATATATTATATTTATAGGTATCGTAAAATATCGAAGTATATATATTATATTTATAGGTATCGTAAAATACCGACCTATTTATAACATTTATGGGTATCGTAAAATACCGACATATATATTATATTTATACGTGTCGTAAAATACCGAAGTATATATTATATTTATAGGTATCATAACATACCGACGTATATATTATATTTGTCGGTGTCGTAAAATACCGACCTTTATATTATATTTGTAGGTATCATAAAATACCGACTTATATATTATGTTTATAGGTATCGTAAATTACCGACGTATATATTATATTTATAGGTGTCATAAAATACCAACGCATATATTATATTTATCGGTATCGTAAAATACTGACGTATATATTATATTTATGGGTGTCATAAAATACCGACGTATATGTTATATTCGTAGGTGTTGTAAAATACCGACGTATATGTTATATTCGTCAGTGTCGTCAAATACCGACGTACATGTTATATTCGTCGGTGTCATAAAATAACGACGTATATCTTATATTCGTTGGTGTCATAAAATACCAATGTATATGTTACATTCGTCGGTGTCGTAAAATACCGACATATACGTCATATTCTTTACTGTCGTAAAAATACCGACGTATATGTTATATTCGTCGGTGTCGTAAAATACCAACTTATATCTTTTATTCGTCGGTGTTGTGAAATACTGACCTATATCTTATATTCGTAGGTGTCGTGAAACACCGACGTATATATTATATTCGTATGTGTCGTGAAATACCGACGTATATCTTATATTCATGGGTGTCATCAAATGCCGACATATATATTATATTCGTAGGTGTTGTAAAATACCGACGTATATATTATATTCGTAGGTGTCGTAAAATAACGACGTATATATTATGTTTGTAGGTGTTGTAAAGTAACGACGTATATATTATAGGTGTCGTAAAATACCGACCTACATATTTTATTTATAGGTGTCGTAAAATACCAATGTATATATTATAGGTGTCTTAAAATACTGACGTATATATTATATTTATAGGTGTCATAAAATACCGACGTATATATTATATTTATAGGTATTGTAAAATACCGACGTATTTATTATAGGTATCGTAAAATACTGACGTATATATTATATTTATAGGTATCGTAAAATACCTACATATATATTATATTTATAGGTATCGTAAAATACCGACGTATATATTTATAGGTATCGTAAAATACCGACATACATATTATAGGTGTCATAAAATACCGACGTATAGATTATATTTGTAGGTGTTGTAAAACACCGATGTGTATATTATATTTATAGGTGTCGTAAAATAACGACGTATATATTTATAGGTGTCTTTAAATACCGACGTATATATTATATTTATATTTATCGTTAAATACCGACGTATATATTATATTTATATTTATCATTAAATATATATTTATATATTTAATAAATGTTTATTGAATTTCATGGAAATTTTACCCAGGCAGATTTGGGCATTCTGTTTTAATGCCAAACAAACATGAAACAAACTTACTCCACACAACCCTGATAATAACCAGCCAATATTTTCTTTTTTTTTTCTTTCTTAGCCCATTTATTTGCCCATACATCTGTAATAGAGACACACTGTGAGTCAGGTTTACATTTTCCCAGCAAACAGAATCATCAAACAAAAGGATTTTAAAGCTCTGTCTTGCTTGTATATAGGTTGTATTTCCCTAATTTTGCATATGTTAGCATTTCACCTGTTATCATCTGTGGAGTTCCCTAGATTCTGTTTCCTTCTGAAATCTGATTTCAAAAGAGGAGGAATGTTTATAAAATGTTTTATGTGCCATATCTTATATAAATATGAAAACCACATTTTCATATGGGAAAAAAATTATAATTATTATACCTTCCTTACAATTATGTTGCTCAAAGAAAGTTAATAACTTATCCATATCATTGAGCTTTTCAGTGCCAGAGTTTAGATTTTTATCCAGGTCTGCTTAACTCCAATGCAATTCTCTTTTCTAAAGCATAAGACCAAACAAAACTATTGTTATCTTATAAAGATTACATTTCCATTGGAAATGTCACATAATAGAAATTAAAATCTAGTATAAAGTAGACCACTATAATTCTTTGATTCAAAAATATGAAATGGACTTTTTCCCTCTGTATCAGCCTTCCATGCACCATTTCCCAACATTTTTCATTCTTTTCAAGCTGATATTCACAAAACTTTAAGTTAGAATAATGATTGCGAAACAGCATGAAACAAAGAAAGCTAAAAATACCCTAAAAGGTGAATGAATACAGGAAAACACTTTGCATAACTTGGTAAGGATGAATTTAAAATAGTTTATATTGCATAACTTTTAAGACAAAAAAACTATTGCAGAATACAATTTTCCTGCACATTACATTGAACATTTTATGCCAATTACATTAACATTTTTCCGATTCATGTTTTAGCCTGCAATCATGCACTAGATCTCAGAAAACTCATATGAAAAATAAAACAAAAACAAACCAACATGAAATAGACAATTGCTGGTCACAGTGGTAAGATAATAATTTTATGCCATAAGAAAACACAACCAGAATATTTTCCTAGGTAATAAACTGTGTTTCCTTTTGAAATATTTACTACTAGACACTTAATCTCAATCCAGTTGAAACAACATTTAAAACATCCCAAAGGAGTGCCATACTCTGTTCCAGAGAATTTTTGTATGTGGCTTCTCTTCGACACCCCTTAGTAATCTATTGCTAGTTTTCTCTCTCTTATCTTCTCTTTTTCCTTGTTTTGTTCAACCTGAAGTGTCTCTCTTCCCACAGGCTTTAAAACATTTATATTAGTGTTTGTTGGGAGGGAATCTTGTAATGAATACATTATTAATAAATCATTAATAACATTTACTAATGGATCATTAATATTTGCTACCTAGATATCTGGCTTTCTTTTTGTGGGTTTCATTTTCCATACTACCATGTGATCATTTAAGTCAAAGATGGAAAATAGATTTCATTTTGTGTTCCATATTCATATAGATGGTAGTGGCATGCTACATTGAGATA
Source organism: Homo sapiens (assembly GCF_000001405.40). Classification (NCBI taxonomy): domain Eukaryota; kingdom Metazoa; phylum Chordata; class Mammalia; order Primates; family Hominidae; genus Homo; species Homo sapiens. The sequence goes on from NC_000024.10 coordinate 6,539,464, forward strand.
AGAGTTGGAGATTATGTCTTCTTTAAATGGAGAAAAGTTACATGAACATAGATAGTTGGGTGGGTGGCTAGTGATGACAGTGTGCTATGTATTTCCCATTTTGATTGAAAATGTAGTCACTATTGAAAATATTTTCCTGTTGTATTAATTGAATATGCCCCCAAGATACACCTCTCTGGTCTAGTCATACAAACTGTGAGAAGAATCTAGGATTTCTTGTAACTGCTGTGTTGTCCTAGACTGCAATATATTCCATACTAGCATTTATTGAATGCGGACTCTGCATTAGGCACAATTTTAAGTTGTTTACAGGTGTGTTAGTTACTGTTATTATCTTCAATGTGCAGATTAGGTAACTGAGGAAACGGGGTTAGGTAAAAACACTTCAATTTCCTTCAACATATACTTTCTTTAGATAAAATGTTTTTGAGGCGTATAAGGCTATGGGAGAACAGGCAGCATTCTTGTTCCTGAAATGGTTAGTTAAATGTAAGTAGCATTTATTGGAATTGATTTCAAGGCCATAATTCACAAGTCAGACAGTGAACAATCTTTACCCTTGTACAGGATGCCTAAATTTTCTTAATTTCTCCATTGGACAGACAATACTTGGGAATCAACTATGAAGTTGGTTTAAAAAGTTCAACTCTTTCAAGTTGTTATATTTAAAAAGATCATTATGACTAACAACCAATTCACTTGCTGTGAGAAGAGGTGGATGTGAGTCATAAAATAACTTTTAAGTCAGAAAATTGGATTTAATTCAGACTTTTCCTCCTCTTACATCAATTGAATGACAGGGATAAATGAACTTGATTTAGCTAGATTTAGAATTGGAGTTGTCTTTCTTATCTATCAAAAGCATGGCAGGACTGATCATCTGGATATCATCAGCTGATGATCAAACATGTCAAATTAATGCAGAAAAAATAAAATAATTTGTGGCATTATATTCTATAATTTATTATGTTGATTTATGACACTTTATTTATTGCAAAAATATGGCATCAAAATTTGGAATTTTATCTACGTTACGAATTGGGTAAAGTAACTTTTAATTACATTGTATACTTTAAGAAATGTGTTAGCCATTCTACTGCAATTGTAAAAATATGTCCACCCATTAAATTTAAAACCTCCTAATTGAGATAATTCTAATAAAATTTTTAAAAATTCTTCAAAGCTTCAAAAACTTCATATTTCTGATCTTGTAATAAGTATAAAACTAAGAGATGCTTTTTCTGTGTAAGCAATGATTGTTAATATAATAGCTATTGAGTTTTCTCTTTCAGTTGAAAGCATTGTATTTTGACATCAGAAGTTACATGTGAAACAATAATTGTTATAATAATTTAATTACCCACTTTAAATGACCGTATATAATGTAGTTGCTAATATATGCTGTTTTTTCTACAGAACATCATTGACAAGATTACGTACATATTCACTATTAGCTTCGAGAACTTTTTATGTACACAAGGCTAGTAAAAGCGCATTCAAAATTACATGTTTTAGGCTGAGGTCTCACTCCTACAGTGCCTTCAGCAAAGTTTTTGGCCTCAGATCATATTCTCAGGCAAATTGTTTTCTATAAAAACTTCCTTTCTGTATTGAAAGGCTGAAGGAATAAAATAAGGAAAAATCCCTTCATTTCTCTCAGACAGTGCAAAGGGAGAAAAATTCTCTGGATAAATACACTGACAGTTTTATTTAATGATTTGAATATAAATTAAATAAGTGTTTAAGAAGTAGTTTAGCTAGTTATACACTTCCTTCATTTAGACAAATAATACAATCACATTTTTTGGCATTATTGGAAATAGCACACAATTTAGGGTCAGTTATTTCTAATTCTGATCATTCAAATTTCAAGCTCTTTGACTTTCTATGTTTTTAACATTGGCCAAGTCATTAATCTCTTAAATGTTCAATGTATTCAATTTAGAACTTTATAAAATGTATAAAATATAGTTAATAATACAGGTACAACCTACTTCATGACAGAATACAACATCCCAAAATATTCCACTCTCGCATATTGGCAATTTCAGTTAAAGGCACTTAAAAAACAGCAGATTCAAGAAAAATGCTCTGATCTTCCTTCTCCCTTTTGTTTCTTAAAAGCAGAAGATGAAATTCCCACTTGAAAGAAGTCCTCCCTATATGATATGGCTTGACTGTGTCCCCACCCAAATCTCATCTTGAGTTGTAGCTCCCATAATCCCCATGTGTCATGGGAGGGACCCAGTAGGAGGTAATTGAATCATGGGAGTAGATTTTTCCTGTGCTGTTCTTGTGATGCTGAATAAGTCTCATGAGATCTGATGGTTTTATAAAGGGTAGTTCCCCTGCATGTGCTTGTGCCAGCTGCCCTGTAAAGCCATGTATTTGCTTCTCCTTTGCCTTTTGCTATGATTGTGAGGCCTCCCCAGCCATGCAGAACTGTGAGTCCATTAAACCTCTTTTCTTTATAAATTACCCAGTCTTTGGTATGTCTTTATCAGCAGCATGAGAACAGACTAATACACTATATCAGAAAAAAAGTAACATTCTGCATACTGGGTGAGATAGACACATAAATGCCTCAGATGATCATTTACCAATGTGCTATGTGTTTATGGAGTGAAAAATAACTTTAAAAACGTTTTAAGATATCTTGCATAGGCATAGGACATAAAACATTTTTTTCCTTCAGAGGTTTCCTCAAAATGTCACCTATTTAGTGTAATCTTCCCTGACCATTGTATTTAAAACTGCAATCTCTTCCTCTCCCAGGTATAACCACCTCAGAGTACCTCTTACTGTCTTTTCAGGTATTATTGCTCTTCTTAATATTTATCACTTTCTGACTTATATATTACAAATATATTTGTTTGTTTGTGTCTCTTCACTATATTTTGAACAGAAATTTTATTTTTCTATTTTGTTCAATACCGTTTCCCCAACTTTTGGAATAATGACTGGCAGGTAATAGCTGCTCAATAAGTATTTTTTAAATAGGTAAATTAGTAAGTGATCAGAAAATGCTTTATATAATGGCCAACAAAGACATATAATTTTAAAATATATGAATTTTCACTTTATTGATTTACTGGCTTTCAGTTCACAGTGATTTCTGACATAAAACTTATACATTTTCAGTTACTAAAACTTATCAAAATTGACCAGGCATGGTGGTTCACGCCTGTAATGCCAGCACTTTGGGAGGCCGAGACCTGCGGATCACCTGAGGTCAGGAGTTCGAGACCAGCCTGGCCAACATGGTGAATCCCTGTCTCTACTAAAAATACAAAAATTAGCCAGGTGGTGGTGGTGCATGCCTGTAATCCCAGCTATTCGAGAGGCTGAGGCAGGAGAATCACAGGAATCCGGGAGGTGGAGATTGCAGTGAACCAAGATCGTGCTGCTGCACTCCAGCCTGGGTGACAGCAAGACTCCATCTAAAAAATAAATAAATAAATAAATAAATAAATAAATAAATAAATAATAAAAATAAATAAATAAAATTTATCAAAATAACCTTGTTTTTTCCATTTTTTCTATGATTACAAGGTATACGTTATTAAAAAGCCCTGGGGACATCTCTTATCAGATATTTGAACTGAAAATTTAGTATATGCAATCAAGTTGGTTTCATAAATACATTTTAGAGAAAATAAAAACTAATAGTATAAACACAATACATCCCAGATTAATTTAAGAATTAAAGGTGTTATTTATTTTTATTTCAAAAATAAAGCAATTATAAAAAAATTCAAGTCTCTTTGTATCTGAACTCTTTTCACCCCTTAATTTTATTTTATACAGTTACCTTAGAATGATAGTCACTTTATTTTCAGTTCTTGGACCCTACAAAAAAATGCTGCAATAAATATCTTTGTATATACACTCTTACAAATTGGCATCCAAATCTTCACACTTTTTCATCAGGGTGTTAAAATACAAAGACCCCTACATATCTGCCAATATTAAATGTGTTACTATTTTATATTGGAACAGACTAATATGATAGCTCTTAATCACTTTAATTGTGATTTCCTTGACTTAGTAAATTTAAAATGTTTTTCATGTGGAATGTTTACCATTTTGGGTTGATCATCTCTGAAGTGTCTAGTCATCTATTTCCCATTCTTTTCTATTGGGATTTTTACATTTTTTCCTCTTCAATTTAAAAGAACTATGTATGCATTACAGAAGTAACTTTTTGTCTCTCTAGAGTAGTTTTGGTTTCTGACAAAATAATTACTAACCTGAGTTCTTGGTTCTCTCCTCCCAAAATATAAACTCTGGCAAATTATAGAAAGAATATAGAGTAGAGAAATCTGCAACAACAAGGAGAAAAATCCCTGGATGTCAAAAGACTGTTTTAACTTTCTGCAGGAGAAAGGGTACGTGTCTATAGTCTATAGCAAGAGGCATCAGGTTCAACTCTGAAATAATAAATTTGAGTAGTGGTTCTCTAAGTGTGATTCCAGACAACCAGCATCAATGTCACTTGGGAAATTGTTAAAAATGCAAATATGGGGGCCCCGCCTTGGATTTACTGGATCGGAACACCTGGCTGTGGTGGCCAGTAAACTGTTAGAACAAGCCTATCAGATGATTCTCATTCAGAGTGGAATGTGAAAACGAACAAATTTTTGAAAAAACTGTTGAATTTTGTTTTTCCATTCTCCTTGCCATTTCCTTTGTAACAATTAATATCTGCTTCTTCACTACAGTAATCCTGAGGCAATAACTCAGACCACTGACTGAATAGACAAATGGACTATCCCAGATCATGTGTGAAAACAGAACTCTGACCTATAGCCTCTACTGAAAGCAGCCCAGGAAGTCAAACCACTTACACAGCAATCATCCCAGAATAGTCAGGACTTGATCAGCGACTGCAAGCTTCCCTATTTTTTATTCCCAGCTTTGGACTAGGGACTAATAAGAGAAAGCTGAATATGCTCCCCAAACCAATCAATCACCTAAGATTCCCCACTTCTAGTTAGCATGCCTCTAGCTTTTTCATGCCAACAACCTCCAATCAGAACATAATTGATACTTTCCCTTTTTCTATCATAGTTTTTCCACTTCCCTGCATATCTCTGAGTCTGCCAAAATCAAGTGATGTTGGTTGACTTCCTTACTGTAGCAAGTTCTAAATAAACAGCCTTTGTTTGTTTTCATTTGGTCTTCATTTATTTCCACACTGCTAATGCAAGTGTAAATAATTCTAATATCAGAGCAGTGTATAAAACACTGCTGGGGTGAAGGATTGCTACTAACTGGAGTGTTATTTACCCGCCTCCACTCTCTTTTTCCATTCCCCCAGTTAGTGGTCTACTATGGTCTTCTGAGGATTTAAAATTGAAACACAGACCTGAAGAGTTGTTTGGTTAAGTGAATGATTAACTATGGTTCTATGGCCCCTGGGCTTTTCACAGTAGAACTTGTTCACCTCCTCTCTGGAAGTAGTTCTTTTGGCCCTGAAAAATTAGCACAATCTGAGTAGCCAGTATCCCCAGGTGAATAAGAGCTCACAGGCCAAAATAAAGTTATGCCTTAGGAGACAAGTCTGCCTCAAAAGACTGTTTTCTTTAAAAAATAAAATTCAAAGATGTATCCTTTTAACTTTACATTTTTTTATCTTGGTTAGGGAAGACTCCAACACCCTTCAATTTTACGTGTAGGCTTTTAGATTTTCCTGCAAGATTTTTTAATATTTACATTTTAAACTTTAGTACATCTGGAGATTATTTTTGTTTCCTCTATAAGATAGAGTCTCATTTTCATTTATTTCTAGATTAAAGAAGCATATATGCTATTAAAATGCATAAAATAGTTTATCTTTCGTTGTTAAATTCAGCCACTGAATTTGTCATATATTAGTTTCCCACATGTCTTAGTATCCGAAAACACAATGATCTGATGTAGACACAAAAGATTATATTCCATAGTTATTCCTCCAAATATCTTATAGGATCTTTTTTTTTCTAAATTCTCTCCTCACTGCCACACCCTCTTCAAGAAAAATTATATTAAAATTCCCTCCTTACTGCCATACTACCAACAAAAATCCTATTGAAATTGCACTAAACTTGTTGATTTTAAAGTATTAACATACTTGCAATATGCAATCTTTCGCTATACAAAAATCAGAATCTGGGGTTGTTGTCCAACTTTCCACAATTTTCCTAGTAACCATAAATGTTTTGCTTCTTTATTTTGGTAACCTTCCCCTCTCTTCCCCCAGCCTATACTTTCAGTTTGAATGGCATTTTCCATTTTTTAATGTTAATCAACCATCCTGTCTCAGTGGTAGTTCATAAAGTACTTATTAATGTGGTTCAAACAGATTTCTACTTTTTTTTTTTTTTGAGACAGTCTGTGGCCCAGGCTGGAATGCAGTGGCACTATGTCTGCTCGCTACAAGCTCCGCCTCCGGGGTTCACGCCATTCTCCTCCTGCCTCAGCCTCCCGCCCGCCACCATGCCTGGCTAATTTTTTTTTATGTTTTTAGTAGAGACAGGGTTTCACCACGTTAGCCAGGATGGCCTCGGTCTTCTGACCTCGTGATCCGTACGCCTCGGCCTCCCAAAGTGCTGGGATTACAGGCGTGAGTCACCGTGCCTGGCCCTATTTCCACTCATTTTATAAACTAAAAATCTATTTCATAGATATGGTGCTGAAAATATCTTTCCTCCCTTGTTTCTGGACCTGTAAGGTTGTGAGTCAGGTGCCATTGGCAATCCCATTGCTGCTAACCGGCAGAGACAAAGCACATTAAGATAATCAGAGTCCTGATGGCATTTAAATCCATAGTTCCTATAATTTCTGAGACTAGTTTCACTTCTTTCCATCATGTAGTTTGGATATTAAACCAACAGATTCCACTTTTTGCTTAACTTTTTGAAATTGTGTTTCTAACATTTCTTACGGTAAGAGTTTTAACTAATTCTCAGTTAATAAATATGGCATATCTTTACATAGTTAACATTTTTAAATGTCTAAAATGTATTCATGTCTCCAAATTACAAATTAATTTTGAATTTTCCTCAACTAGGTTTTAAGTATTTTTATTTAAGATGCTATCTAGTTAGATAATATATTTTGTTCTTATACTAATGTGCTGTGTCCCTACTTAATATTTCTACCGATTATTTCTGATACGTAGAAAAGTTAGTGATTGTTGTACATTTGTTTCTTCACCAGCCAACCAACTATGCTATTTTACTACTAAAATATTTGTTTTTCAACTATGTCTTTTCTGTTTAGAGATAAATTGAATTTTTTTACTTGTCCTTCAACTAACAGCATGCTTTATTTCTGTTTTCTAAACATTTCAGACATTATGAAATTATATTCTATATTGTATGTATATAGATATACATATATACATGTGTATGCACACATGTACGTGTGTGTGTAAAATACATTATATGATATTTGGGATTACGGGGCTAGAAACAATTAGAAAGTTACTATTTATCTTGGCTATTCAGTTGACTTTTTAGAAAAAGAATAAATAACAGGGAAATTATTTGATAATATAAATTATCAAAGCAAAATTAGTCATGTTTGTTCAAGAAATACAAGAGCCATAAAAAATTTGTATAGGTATATTTTCTAGCTATTCATAAGTATATCACAATATTAAACTATTGAACTAATGTGAGCACTTAATTCCCTATAAATCTGAACTTGTAAAGTTGCTTTAATATATATTCCTTTAAAAATAAAAAAATGAACTCCAGCCTGAGTGACAGAGTGAGATTGTCTCAAAATAAATAAATAAAACAAACAAATAACATAAAAGTCATAAAATAGGTTTTCAAAAATTATTTTATTTTTAAAATTATTGCACATTAAATTTTGATTGATATTCAATAAGAGTCTCCTTGACAAAACTCCATTCAAGCTTCTCTGAATTGTCCTCCCAACTAAGATTTGATTCCTGGGTTTTCATGTTCTTCTCTGCATTGCCCAATTTTAGCCAAAACCGTGATAAGCCAGTTTAGCCAGAATCCCCTACTCTACATCTGATTGTGTTCCTCATCCCTAGCAATCCTCCAAATGATATCTGATGGCTGGTCTGACCTCACCAAGAATCATGTTAGGTAGGTTTAGCCAGAATCCTCCCTTATCCCTGATGTCTTCGATTAGTAATTTCTCTCCAACTACACCTTCTCCCCTACATTCTTGACTGTAAATTTCCACTTTTCTTTATTGTATTTAGAATTGATTTCAGTTCTATTCTGAGATATTTTTCCCCCTTATTGCAGTAGTTTTTGGGTAAAATATGTTCTACTGCTTTAACTGCTATCCAGCTCTAGCTTTTCTTTGACAAACATTCACAGATTGTATAACAATCATCACAATCAACATACAGAATACTACCATCACCTCAAAATCTTTCTCATGTTATCTCTAAAAGATAATTTTAAAATTTAAGTTTTTATTTTTATACACTTTGTGTCACAAATATTATACTAAGATGCATTTGTAGAAAAATATAGATTATAAAATTGAACCTAATCTACTGCCAATTATATTTGCTTCTGTGATCTTAAAATACACACAGAAACAGTGAGATAGAAAGGTTCTCTGAGCTAAAAGGCTGACCCCCAGATGAATTTATTTAACCAATAATAAAGATCAAAGATACAAGAAACACACAAAGCTGCAATCATTAATATCAACTATAGATAACATTAAACAGCTGAAAACAAGGTATTCAATGTTATTAACATTTATCCTGAATTGTATACCTCCTATAAACGTATCCTTAAAGGTGAATTTCCTCTTCTTAATATGCATATATACATTATTATTTTTAATACAGAGACATCACACAGAAGATATTGGTTCACATCACAGTTAGATTCCTAACATGTCTGAGTAAAATAGCATATTGATTTATATATGGTGACTGTTTTCAATTGATATAAAAATATTTACTGTTTAATAAAGCTAGTTGTTGCTTTTGGAACAATATAAAAAATGAAGAAACTATAGATTTCTATATACTGGCTAAAATTACTGTGTGTTAAAAAAGATATCAGAAGGTTCTATGCTTTAGACTTTAAACACCACTGCTGCTTTTCCAACGTTACATTAAAGGCTATTCCCAGTGACTGGTCCTCATTATTCTTTTATAAAGTCAGATTTTCTCGGGGTCCTTTTTTTGCAATTCAGTTACCTTCTATGTATTTAAGGGGAAGTATAGGTTAAATTCTATCAATTGTTAGACTTGCATCCATAACTACTAAACATACTCAGTTTCTTCTTTATTCTGTGAAACTCTAAGTCAGGTAAAGTCCTTTGCAACTAATAATTTTAATGTAAACACAGCTCTAAAGACAAAAATTTGATAACAGATTTGAAACCAAAATCTTGACCCAATGAGGCCCAAATTGCAACGTCTTAATCACTCCATCATTGTAATATACGTGACTATCTAGGGGAAGACATTTTTTATTATTTTGGGTCATCTGCATTTAAATGAATACATTATGAAGAAAACATGCATACCACAAGTGAGCTTTTATTTTTCCTTTTAGTTAATGTAGATGTAGTGTGTTTTACTGTTTTAGTTCAAAGTAGGCAGGTTCACAGACTTTGAATAATAGTAATATCAGAAATTCAAGTGTACTGAAAGGAGGAGACAAATACTGTGGTTTTTAAGTTCATTTTAGGTAAATGAACTGAATGCTGGTTATTCCTGCATGTAGATTTATTAATGAACAAAATAAGAGAATACTGAGAATAGTTTTTGCAGAGTGAGAGCAAGATATCAGCAAATAATTTAGTTCTATAAATAGGGATACCACATTGCAACTCAGTCTGAAAGACTATTTGAGATGAATAACCCCATTTTATTTTGTTATTTTAATATTTTAAAATAAAACATGGAAGTTAAAGATTTAACTTTTTTTTTTTTGATGTATCCAAAAACTAGATCCAAATATCTGAAATAATAAGGCTGTTTGGAGGATTGTTTTCATCTAATTCATATAGTATAATATCCATGATTTTCTAAAATAACTTTATTGTGTGAATATGTCATGCCATAATTTTTGTTTTCTTTAATATGAATGCCCTCATTCCTCAAAGTCAACCTTTGATATAAGTGTAAATAGACTTCATCAGTGTGTTCAGGGAAAAGATAAGAAATATAAAACTGTTAAAAATTTGTATGCATATTTAAAAAAAAATTTGTACTTCATCCTTTCTCAGACACAGCCCCAAAGCCAAGACAAATAATATGATAGAAGATTTCATTCTAAATAAAAATCTTCTTTTTAAAATGGTAACCTGAAACTGTATAATAGTATTTGTACAATAACTAATTCCTATATTGAAAGTTTAGTGAGGTCTCTAGGCAGCACTTGCCATGTTTGCAGTTTATTAAGCAGTTTGAAGATGGTTGAACATTAGATACAAAAATAATTGAAGCTCAATACTGTTAGGTTTAGTAAGAACATAATGTGTCTTCTCTTTCCTTTTTTACTTTTTTTTTTTTGAGATGGAGTCTCGCTCTGTTGCCCAGGTTGGAGTGCAGTGGCACGATCTCAGCTCACTGCAACCTCCACCTCCTGGGTTCACGCCATTCTTCTGCCTCAGCCTCCAAGTAGCTGAGACTACAGGCGCCTGCTACCACGCCCGGCTAATTTTTTGTATTTTTAGTAAACACAGGGTTTCACCATGTTAGCCAGGATGGTCTCGGTCTCCTGACCTCGTGATCTACCCACGTCGACCTCCCAAAGTGGTGGGATTACAGGCGTGAGCCACCGTGCCCAGCCCATAATGTGTCTTTTTAAATTAATTAACTCTTAAGATCAGTGGAGTGTGTAGATGTTTACTTATGTTTCTATCTTCACTTAGCTGTTCCCAGGATGAAAAAAAAAAAGACTAGTGGCTCTGTTAAACCCTGAAAATTAGCTTAATGATCTTACCTCTTCATCCTTTCTACCAATCTGGCCCCTTTTAAACCCCCGAATGTAATCATTGGTACTCATTGGTACTATCTTCCTCTTGATTTCAGAGAACACCTCCTTGCAAAATTGTTAATTTTTCTCTTTTACTGTATTAAATCACTTACTGAGTAAAATAATTCTTTCCTTGAAATGCGATTTGGTTTCTTCTTTGCTCTCCATTTCTATGCCATTTCCACTTAAACTTGTCCCTGCATTGTTGCAAAAACCTAACTGGTTTCTTTGATGGACAAAATTAGAGAGATTACCTTTTTGATAGTAAGGTCAAAGCTCACCTACTAATCTGGACATCTAAAGCTGTCCTTCAATCAAATGCTCTCATTCCTCTGCTTCCTATCTTCTTCACTCATTCCATAATAACATTCCTTGTTACTTCTAAGCATACCTCTTCTCTTTCAGTTGACCATGATCCTTTCCATCTCATAGGCACTGCTTTTTATTTTACAACAATGACTTTGCTTATAAAGATCACTTCACCTAATATGTTCCCTGGCACATTGCTCCCTGTTCAAACAAGCCTTCATAAAAACCCAGATGTTTTAATATTATATTGATAATCATGTGTGTGTGTGTGTGTGTGTGTGTGTGTGTGTGTGCATGTTTGTGTTTTCTTTTGGCATTGTTTTTATACTTGAGAGAACAATGATGCCTGTGGTTTGATTAAAATATGAACATGAGGCTGGGCACAGTGGCTCATGCCTGTAATCCCAGCACTTTGGGAGGCTGAGGCAGGTGAATCACTTGAGGGTCAGGAATTCGAGACCAGCCTGGCCAAGATGGTGAAACCCATCTCTACTAAAAATACAAAAGATTAGCTGGGCCTGGTGGCTTCTGCCTGTAATCTCAGCTACTTGGGAGGCTGGGGCAGGAGAATCGCTTGAACCCAGAAGGCGGAGATTGCAGTGAGCCAAGATCGCGCCATTGCACTCGAGCCTAGGCAACAAGAGCGAAACTCCGGCTCAAACAAACAAACTATATATATATATGAACATGAGTGCTTAATCTGTCTATATATTTGCAACCTTTTGTCATTCTTTCTCGATCTATCTTAAGCTTCTCTTTGGCGAGTTCCTTGTGTTCTCACCTCATTTACATCATATCCCTAGTACCTAGTAAAGTTCAATTAACATCATAAAGTATTAAATAATGCTTACTAAGTGAATGGATCTCTCTGCAGCCATTACAAGAAGGAAAATAAAATTTCGTACCCATTTGAGGTGTTTAATTTTACATAGTTTGGACATTCATAGACTCAAACATTTTAGAACTTGAAGGATGGTAAGGGAGCATCTAAGTATCTACCTTATTTTATAGGTAATTGCTGTGGTTTGGATACTCCAAAACTCATGTTGCAACCTGATCCCCAGTGTTGGGGGTGGGGCGTAGTGAAAGGTGGTTGGGTCATGGTGGCTGATTCCTCATGAATGGCTTCGTGCTCTCCATACTGTAATGACTGAGTTCTCTCTCTATTAGTTCGCGTGAGAGCTGATTGTTTAATAGAGCCTGGCACCTCCCTCCCCACTCTCTCTATATCCCTCTCCTGCTATGTGATCTCTGCACCTGCAGCCTCCTCTTCGCTTTCTGTCATGAGTGGAAGCAGCCTGCACCACTCACCAGAAGCATATGCGGTCCCCATACTTCTTGTATAGCCTGCAGAACCATTAGCCAAATAAATATATTTTCTATATAAATTACCAAGTATCAGGTATTCTTTTATAGCAACAGAAACAGATTAAGACAATAGTGGTACAATAGGAAGAACATAAAGAAAATATTCTAAGAGTTCAATTACTCAGTAGAAAGGCCAAAGCATTATGTTTTTGGGTTTCCAAAGCTCTGCTTCAGTATGTTCCAGGATTGTTCTAGGTAATCTATTTAGTGCACATTCTTTGAATTCTCAGACACTGCTAGGTGCCTAAGCACAGGAGTTCTACAAATAATGTGTGATAGAGCTTTACATTTGTATGGACAAGTACTAAGGTAATCAAGTTTTGGTGGATTCAAATCAAGTTTGGTGGATTCAAAATACTGAATCTCCTCTGTCAATTAGAAAACTTCCTTTTGGTTTTATGTACTACAGTTCAGCACAAAAAATCCATATGTCCAAAATCCTAATGTTACCAAAAAATGTGTGTTTTGAGGGTTAGGTGATTCCAGAGTGGCTGGAGTTTAGACAATAGAAGAGCAAATACCAGAAATGTCTCAAAAGGGAGGTAGGAAATAGATCACCATGCATTGCCTTCAATATGTTCAGATTTTATTCTCAAGGTAATGGGAATTCACTGAAGAGGTTTCCACTTGTAAGTGACCTGTCCAAATATGTTGTTTATTCTATATCAAAGTTATAGGCATACATGTTTTAAAAAACTTGTTGTAGGTGGTCACTAAAATTATTTTAGTTATTTATTGTGGTATTTACTACTAGGTTTCATAATAACATGCTTATACTATTATTCCTTGATTTTCAGCGCTGTATGTAATGTAATGACTACTTACTATGGAAGATGAGCCTATTGTTCACTTACCACCACCATCATCACCACACACTAAGGGCACCCCACTGGTCTTTAGCACATGCATACTCTCCCACCCCTACAGTAGTGGCCATGGAAATCTCTTACTCAGATGGCCAGCTCCAGGGAGCACAGTTGACTGACATTCCATGCTGCCACACCTCTGGATTCACCATTTACATTGTGCTAAAATTTTGCATTCCTTAGGCTGCTCTTGGCCAATGACTAAGTATGCCAGTGGTAGCAGAAAATAGTTTTGACCTTACAGATTCATTGAATTTATGTTGTGAATGACTAGCAGTCCTGGATCACACTTTGAGAACCACTGACCTATGCTGCATTCAATCTACCACACAGCTGAAATTCAGATATTTGTTTTAGAACAATCACTCTGACAGAACAAAGACACAGGCATACCTAGGAGATATTGCAGGTTTGGTGAGAGCTGATTGTTTAACAGTGCCTGGCACCTCCCTTCCCTCTCTCTCTGTCTTCCTCTCCTGCCGTGTGATCTCCGTACATGCAGGCTACTCTTCACCTTTGGTCATGTTCCAGACCAACACAATAAAGCAAATATCACAATAAAGTAGGCCATGTACATTTTTTTGGTTTCCCAATGCATATACAAGTTATGTTTGTACTATACATTAGTCTATTAAGTATGCAACAGCATGTGTCTAAAAATGTATATACTTTAATTATAAATGCTTTGTTGCTAAAAAATGTTAATGATCATCTGAGCCTTCAGTGAGTCATAATTTTTTTTGCTGGTCCAAGGTCTTGTCTTGATGTTGATGGCTGCTTACTGTTCAAGGTGGTGATTGCTTAAAGTCAGGTGGCTGTGGCAATTTTTAAAAATAAAACAACAATGAAGTTTGCAACATCAATTAACTCTTCTTCTTATGAAAGATTTCTCTGTAGCATGCAATGCTGTTTCATAGCATTCTACCCATAGAATATTTTTCAAAATTGAAGTAAATGCTCTCTCAAACTATGCTGCAGATTTATAAACTAAGTTTATATAACATTCTAAAACTTTTTGTCATTTCAACATGTTCAGTTTCTTCACCAAAAGTAGATTTTATCTCAAGAAACCACTTTCCTTACTCTCCCATCAGAAGCAACATCTCATCTGTTCAAGTTTTTTCGTGAGATTATAGCAATACAATCACATCTACAGGCTCCACTTCTAGTTCTTTTGCTATTTCCTCCACATCTGAAGTTAATTTCTCCACTGAAGGCTCAAACTTCTCAGAATCATCCAGGAGGGTTGGAATCTATATCTTCTAAATTCCTGTTAATGTTGATGTTTCTACCTCCCCTCATTAATCACAAATGTTCTTAACGGCACCTAGAAGGGTAAATTCTTTACAGAAGGTTTTCAATGTACTTTGCCCCGGTCCATCAGAGGAATCAACATCTATGGCAGCTAGAGCCTTACAAAATATATCTCTTAAATAATAAGATTTGAAAGCTTAAATTACTCCTTAATCCATGAGCTAAAGAATTGATGTTGGGTTTGCAGGCATAAAAGCAACATTAATCTCCATGGACACGTCCATCATAGATCTTGGGTGACCAGGTGCATAGTTAATAAGTAGTAATATTTTGAAAGAAATCTTATTTCTGAGCCATAGATCATAAAATTGGGTTTAAAATATTTAATACACGATTCTGTAAATAGGTGGGCTTTCACCCAGGCTTCATTGTTCCATGTATAGAGCACAGCCTTAGTAGATTTAGCATAATTCTTAAAGACCCAAGGATTTCCAGAATGGCAAATTAGATTCAGCTTCAACTTAAAGTCACTAGCTGCATTAGGCCATAACAAGAGATTCAGCCTGCCTTTTGAAGATTTGAAGCCAGACACTGACTTCTCCTCCCTAGCGATGAAAGTCCTTTATAGCATCTTCTATCAATATAACCCTATTTTGTCTGTACTGAAAATCTGTTGTTTAGTGTCACCACCTTCATCAATTATTTTAGCTAGATCCTCTGAATAATGTGCTGCAGCTTTCACATCAGCCCTTACTGTTTTGCCTTACAGAGACGGCTTCTTTCCTTAAATCTCAAGAATCAAACTCTGCTAGCTTCAAACTTTTTCTTCTGCAGCTTCCTCGCCTTTTATAAGATTAAAGAGAGTTATGGCCTTTTTCTGAATTAGGCTTTGGCTTAAAGGAATGTTATAGCTAGTTTGATCTATCTAGATTACTAAAACTTTCTTCACATCAGCAATAAGGCTGTTTTGCCTTTTCATCATGTGTGAATTCACTACAGTAGCACTTTTAATTTTCTTCAATAACTTTTCCCTTGCACTCACAAATTGATTAACTGTTTGTTGCATGAAGCACAGCTTTCAGCCTATCACATCTTTGCATATTTCTTCCACAGTAAGTTTAGTCATTTCTAGTTTCTTATTTAAAGTGAGAGATATGTTACTGTTTTTTTCCCACCAGAACACTTAGAAGCCATTTTAGAGTCATTACTTGGCCTAATTTTAATATTCTTGTCTCTCAGAGAAGAGGGAAGACTAAAAAGAGGGAAAGTGAAATGGGAGTGGTGGGTTGATGGAGCAGTCGTAACACATTCATTTATTAAGTTCACTGTCTTATATGAGTGCAGTTCATGGTGCCTGCAAACAATTATAATAATAATAATATTAAAGATCACTGAGTACACTACTGCACACACAGGTCATTATGACAGATTTAATAATAATGAAAAATGTTTAATATATTTCAAGAATTACTAAAACATGACACAGAGACATAGTGATCACATGCTGTTAGAAGTATGGTGCCAATAACATTGTTTGATGCAGGAGTGACATAGATCTTCCATTTTTAAAAATGCAATATTTATTCTGGTTCAAAATACCTGACTAGAGACATTAGACATCTATGTTTTCCAGAAAACAAAGGACCAAATTATGAATAGACAATTATGCTACAAATAAAGCATCTAGGAGAGGAACACTAGAGTCCAACAGAGAAGTCATGGGAAACACCTGAAGCACAGAAAAAGATGGATGTCAGTAGCCAGCTCAGCTGACATTGGCTGAAGCCTAGAGGAGCTTGCTATTGCAGGTAAAGAGTAAATGAGGAAATGTTAGTAGTCCACATCACCACCATTAATAGTTGCAATCCAAACAACAGGGAGAGCTCCGCTACCCACAGAAATGCTGACTACCATTGTCAGTAATCTGGAGACCCTGTAAGAGCATTACACCAGACAGGGGATGTGTTCTTTGTCGCTCACACCCCAGACACCTAAGTGGTTGGATCAGGGCACGATTGTGAGAGCATAGCCATAATGGGACTGTATCCTGCCCTGGGGAGCCCCAGCCTCCATATCTCCACATTCTGGGAGCTCCAACATATATCCCCCGGTGTAAACTCAGAGAGCTACAGTGGTACAGTGCTGGCTGAACCCAAAGGTGTCACAGGATTCTCAAGACTCTAGCCAATAGGGAGTACCACTCCCTGAGAATAGGACAGTGCAGCACACCAAAAGATGACCAAAGCACATGCTTTCCAGAGCCCAAGAGCTCTGGTGCTGTGAAAAGAGATTCTTTTCCCAGCAGTGGCACAAACTTTTGCTTGGACTGGCAGGCAAACAGTATGATCCCCTCTCCCACTTGGCACTCTGTCACAGCAGTTGCTGCAACTAGAAACCCAGGTTGGTGAGTCTGAAAGTTGACCCTCTGAGGCTGGAGGAAGTGACTCTACCTCAACCATCACAGTGGCCTCTGTGCTCAGTCTCCTCCGTAGAGAGAAGTACCCCCTTTTCTTCTCTGCACACTGCTGCAGCCACAGATGCTGCTGCTGCTACCAAGGACTGGGGTGAATGAGCAAAATTGCTGCCCGCCTGGGGTTGTGAGTAGTGATAGTCCTCCCACTGGTGGCATGGCCTCTGTGCTTGGGCTCACTCACAAAGAGTGGGGCCATTCCACACCTTTACATGGTGCTGTCATGCTGTCACTGCTGCTTAGAGTGGGCAAGCATGAGAACTACTTGTCCAGGGCTTTGGGTGTTCAATCTGCATTGTAACAACTGCCAAGACCAGCACATACTGCACATTACCCACTCTATCCTCCTATAACTACTAGCCGTTGCCCACATCAAACTAGCTGCCCAGGGACCAGGGTAGCTTTTCATTCACTCAGCCCTCTCTTGCCACAACCAGCATTTGAGGACGCCTCTTTGAGACTCAAGAACTGGCTTGGCTGGTGCTGCTAACATTGGTAACAGTGTGTACTGTCCTGGGGCCCAAGAACAGGCATACTCAACCCTCCACTGCTACCACTAGGGCCTGATGACTGGCCGACATGGTATCCCCATCCCCAGGACAATTTTACCATAGCCTCCATTAATAGCCACACTGTAGGCCACTGAAGAAATCACAGGTACATTGAGGTTGTTTATAGTGAAAAAACTCACAGGCAGACTACACAACTGCACACACCTAGAATCAAAGCCAAAAGGGACTGCTCAACTGACACTATTGGTACATTTTTGGGAAAATGTCCCCTCTCATGAAAGCAAATTCAAAAAATTGGAGGAAGCAACTATTACACCATATGTGTAGATATCAATATAAAGACAGATAAAGCAAGAAAATATGATACTAGGAAAGAAATACAATAGTTCCCCAGTAATATACCCAATAAAAAAACATTGTCAAAATTCCAGAAAAAAAACATTCAAAATGGTACCAAATAAGCCCAGCAAGATAAAACATAATTCCTTAAAATAATCAAAGGAATTGGAAAAACAATTCATAATATAAATTAGAAATTTACCAAAAAAGAAAATATTATTTAAATGAACCAAACAGAAATCCTAGGATTGAAGAAGTCCTTGAATAAAGAACAATGTATACTCAAAATCTTCAAAAATAAGCTAAATGAAGCAGAAGAAAGAATCTCATAACTTGAGCAAAGATCTTTTGAAATGACACAGTGAGACAAAAATAGTGAAAAAATAAATTAACAAAGCCTTCCTGATATATGAGACACCATAATGCCATCAAAAATATGAATTATCAGTATCTTCAAAGGTAGAAAGGAAGAGAAAATGAAGGTTTTCAAAAACATATTTAATGAAATAATAGATAATAACTTTACATGTGTAGCAAGAGATGTAGACATTGAGATACAATGGGCTCAATGATATGCAAACAGATACATTGCAAAAAGGTATTTTTCATGGAACATTACAGTCTAACCGTCTGAGGTCAATGACAAAGAGAAAATTCTAAAAATAGCAAGAGAAAAACAACTAGTCACCTATAAAGGAGCTCCAATCAGACTAACAGCAGACTTCTCAGCAGAAACCTGACAGGCCAGGAGAAAATGGAATGATATATTCAAAGTGCCGAATGAAAAAAAATAATCTGCCACCAAAGGATACTTTATTTAGACAAATTATCGCTTGTAAGTAAGGGTGAAATAAAGACTTTGCCAGACATGCAAATCCTGAGGAAATTCATCACCACTAGGCTGACCTGACAAAAAATATTTAAAGGAGTTTTAATTCTAAAAGCAAAAGGATGATGGTTACTATCGATAACATGTTAGTATAAAATTCACTAGTAAAGTAAACACACAAATTAAGAAGAGAAAAGACTCAAATGTTACCACCCCAGGACACCAGTGAACCACAAGGGCAAACAATAAGAGAAGAAAAGAAAAGAAAAAAAAAGAATATATGAAACAACTAGAAAATGATTATCAATATGATATGAAAAAATCTACTATATCAATAATACCCTTGAAGGTTAAATTCTCCACTTAAAAGATATAGACTAGCTGAATGGGTAACAAAAAATAATTCAACAATATGCTGCTTACAAGAAATATGCCTTACCTGTAAAGACACATAGAGACTAAAAATAAAGAAGTGGAAAAAGATATTCCATGCAAATGGAAAATAAAAGTGGACAGGAATAGCTATATTTATGTCAGATATAACAGACTATAGGTCAAAAACAGTAAAAAAAAAGGCAAAGAAGATAATTATACAATGATAAAGGGATTAATCCAGCAAAAGGACATAATAATTCAATTTTTAGTCTGTATTTTGTTCAGATCTCCTCTGATTATTATTGATTTTCTTCTGTTAATTTGGGGTTTGGTTTGTTCTTGTTTTCTAGTTATTTGAGAGGCATCATTAGACTGCATAATTGAAATTTATCTTTTTATGTGTTTTTATGCTGTATCCCACAAGTTTTGGTATGTTGTGTTTCCATTTTCACTTATATTAATTTTTTAACATTTTTATCTAAATTTCTTTATTGACCAAATAATCTCTTTCAAGAGCATGTTAATTTCTATATATTTGTATAGTTTCCCAAATTCTTCTTGTTATTTATTTCTATTTTTATTTATATATATGCAGCCAGTATTGGAACATCTAGATTTAAAAAGTAAATATTACTAAATCTTAAAAAAAAGACTCCAATACAATAATAACAGGAGACTTTAATACCTCACTCTCAGCGTTTGATGCACAATCTATACAGAAAATTAACAAAGAAACATTGAAGTCAACTTGGACTTTAAGGAAAATGTACCTAACAGACATTTACAGAATGTTGTATCCAACAACTGCAGAATGCACATTTTTCTCATGAGTACATGGAACATTTTCCAAGATAGATCATATGTTATGCCACCAAATGAGTCTCAACAAATATAAAAAAAAAATCAAACCTATATCAAGTATCTTCTCATTCCACAATGGAATAAACCTAGAAATCAGTAACAAGAACTTTGGAAATTATGCAAATACTTAGAAATTAAACGACGTCCTCTTCAAAGAGATCATTGGCCCAATGAAGAAACTAAGATGGAAAGTTTAAAAAATATATTTAACTAAATGAAAATGGAAACACAGCCTACTGAATTTGTGGGATACAGCAAAAGCAGTGCTAAAGGGAGGTTTAAACAGACAAATTTCAAGTAAGCAACATAATGATGATTTCAAAGAACTAGAAAAGCAAGAACAAACCAAATCCCAAATTGACAGAAGAAATAACAAAGATCAGAGGAAACCTAAACAAAATTCAGAGTAAAGAAATACAAATAATTAATGAAAAGTTGGTTCTTTGAAAAGATAAACAAAATTAATAAACTGCTAAC
The DNA here is from genome assembly GCF_000001405.40 of Homo sapiens. Lineage (NCBI taxonomy): Eukaryota > Metazoa > Chordata > Mammalia > Primates > Hominidae > Homo > Homo sapiens. Next base: position 6,560,100 of record NC_000024.10, read on the forward strand.
AATACTAATCAAGCATACCCAAATAACAAAATCAACAATGAAAAAGTAGATGTTACAGCTAATACTACATAAATACAAAAGAACATCGGAGACTATTAGGAACAACTATAAACTGACAAAGTAAAAAACTGAGAGTAAATGAATAAATTTCTTGAAACAAACAACCTACCAAGATTGGATCGGAAAAAAAAAAACCAACAAGAAAATGTGAGCAGACCAATATTGAGTAATGAAATTATATTAGTAACAGAAAATCTCCCCTCTCCCCAGAAAAGTCCAGGATTAGATGAGTTCACTGTTGAATTTTACCAAACATATGAAGAAAAACTAATAATACCAATTCTACTCAAACTATTCCTAAAAATTGAAGAGGAGGATATTCTCTCTAACTTACTCCATTAGGCCATCATTACCCTGATACCAAAAGCAAATCAAGACACCACAAAAAAGAAAACCACAGGCTAATATCCCTGATGAACATAAAAGTAAAAATACTCAACAAATACTAGCTAACTGAATCAAACTGCACTTCAATAAAAAGTACATCATGATCAAGTGGGATTTATTTCAGAGATGCAAGTATGGTTCAACAGGTGCAAATCAATAAACACGATACATTACATCAACAGATTGAAGAAAAAAATATGATCCTCTTAGCAGACAAAGAAAAAACATTTGACAAAATTTAACAACCTTTCATGGTAAACTCTTTCAACAACTAGACCAAGAATAACCATATTTCAAAATAATAAAGGACATATATGACAAAGCTACAAGTAACATTGTATTAGGATAAAGTTGAAAGCAATTCCTCTAACAACTGGAATAAGAGAAGAATGCCCACTTTCACCACTGCTATTTAACATAGTGCTAGAAGTGCTAGCTAGAAGAAATCAGGCCAAAAAAAAATGCAAGGCTTTTAGGGCTCTTTTTTAGTTTTATATGAATTTTAGAATGTTTTTTTCTGATTCTGTGAAAAATGATGTTGGTATTTTGATAGGAATTGCATTGAATTTGTAGATTGCTTTGGGCAGTATGGTCATCTTCACAGTATTGATTCTTTCAACCCATGAGCATGTGATGCATTTCCATTTGTTTGTATCATCTATGATTACTTTCAGCAGTGTTTTGTAGTTGTCCTTGTAGAGAGCTTTCACATCTTTGGTTAATAATTTTCCTAGGCAGTTTTTTTGCAACGATTGTAAAAGGAAATTAGTTATTGATTTGGCCTAAGCAAAAAGAACAAATCCAGAGGCAATCACATTACCTGACTTCAAATTATGCCACATGGCTATAGTTATCAAAGCACCACAGTACTGGTATAAAAATAGACACAAAGACCAATGGAGCAGAATAGAGAACTCAGAAACAAAGTCAAATACTTACAACCAACTAATCTTCAATAAGTCATTCAAAAACATAAATTGAAGAATGGACACCCTATTTAATAAATGGTGCTGGGGAAACTAGATAATTACATGTAGAAAAATAAAACTGTATCCCTATCTCTCACCTTATACAGAAATCAACTTAAGATGGATCAATGACTTAAACCATAAAAATTCTGGAAGATTACCTAGGAAAAACTTTTCTAGACATTGGCCTAGGCCAAGAATTTATGATTAAGACCCCAAAAGCAAATGCAATAGAAATAAATAAGTGGGACCTAATTAAACTAAAAAGCTTCTGCACAGCCAAAGAAATAATCAGCTGAGTGAACAGACAACCCACAAAGTGGGAGAAAATCTTTGCAAACTATGCATCCAACAAAGGGCTAATATCCAGAACCTACAAGGAACTCAAAGAAATCAGCAAGAAAAAAACAAGTAATCCCGTAAAAAACTGGGCAGATTACGTAAATAGAAATTTTTCAAAAAAAGATATACAAATGACCAACAAACATATGAAAAAATGCTCAACATCACTAATTATTAGGGAATGCATATTAAAACCACAGTAAATACCACCTTACCCCAGCCAGAATGGCTATTACTTAAAGAGTCAAAAACAATAGATGCTGGCATGGATGGGAGGAAAAGGGAATGCTTATACAATGCTGGTGGGAATGTAAATTAGGACGACCTTCATGGGAAAAAGTATGGATATTTATCAAAAAACTAAAAGTAGATATACCATTCTGTCTAGCAATCCCCCTACTGGGTATCTACCCAAAGGGAAAGAAGTCATCATATCCAAAAGACATCTGTAGTTTATGTTTATTGCAGCACAATAAACAATTGCAAAGATATGGAACCAACCTAAATGCCCATCAACAAATGAGTGGATAAAAATGTCATATTATATATATATATATATATATATATATATATATATATACCATAGAATACTACTCAACAATAACAAAGAATGAAATAATGTTTTTTGCAGCAACTTAGATGGAGCTGGAGCTCATTACTCTATGTGAAGCAACTCAAAAATGAAAAATCAAATACTGTATGTTCTCACTTACAAGTGGAAATTAAACTATGGGTATGCAAGGGCAGACAGATAGCTATAATGGACTATGGAGACTCAGAAGGAAGAGTCAGAAGGGGTAAGTGATAGAAAATTACATATTGTATACAGTATGCACTACTTGGGTGATAAGTGCACTAAAATCTCAGACTTCATCATAATACAATTCATCCATGTAACCAAAAGCCACTTGTACCCCCAAAGCTATTGAGATAATAAAATTAGAAAATTTAAAAATAAAAAAAATTAAATACATGGCTAGTTTCTATGTGCTAAAAAAAGAAACGAAACACTTCCAAATTGGAAAAAAGGAAATAAAACTGTCCCTCTTTGCAAACAACATGATAGTATGTCTACACAAATGTAAAGACTCTACCAAGAAACTTTTAGAAGTGATAAATACAGTGAAGTTTTAGGATACAAAATTAACATTAAAACACAGGAGCATTTCCATATAGCAATAATGAAATATCCAAAAAAGAAATCAAGAAGGAAATTTTATTTACAATGCTAAAGAAAATAAAGTACCCAGGAATAAATTTAACAATGAAGGTGGTGTTATAAGGAAAACTACAAAATACTGATGAAAGAAATTGAAGAGGACACAAACAAATTGATAAACATCCCATGTTTGTGTATCAAAATTGATATCATTAAAATTACCATACTACCCAAAGCAATCTACAGATTCAATACAATCCATATCAAAATACTAAAATCATTTTTCACAGAAATGGAAAAAAATCCTAAAACTTATATGGGAAAACAAGCCAGAATAGTCAAGCAATCCTAAGCATAAAGAACAAAATTGGAGGCATCACAGTACCTGACTTAAAAACAGATTACAAAAATATAATAACCAAAAGAGCATGATATTGGTATAAAAATAGATACAGACCAATGAAACAGAATAGACGACAGAGAAATAAATCCACATATTTACAGGCAACTGATCTTTGACAAAGCTGCCAAGAACATACACTGGGGAAGGAAAACCTTCTTCCATAAATGGTGCTGGAAAAATTGGATAACCAGATACAGAAGAATGAAACTGGACCCCATCTCTCACCATATACAAAAGTAACCTCAAAATGGACTAAAGACTTAAATGTAAAAGTCAAAACTATAGCAGTAGAAAACATAGGGAATATGCTTCAGGAATTGGTCTAGGCAAAATTTTTATAACTAAGACCTCAAAAGAACAGGTAACAAAAATAAAAACAAATGGGACTATATTACACAAAAAAGCTTTGGTTGAGCAGAATAAATTATCATCAGAGTGAGGAGACAACCTCTTAAGTAGGAGAAAATGTTTTCAAATTACTTATCCAACAAGGGACTCAACAACTAAACAATAAAACAAATGCATCAATTAAAATGGCTATGTGTCACGCATAGACATTTCACAAAGGAAGACATAAAAATGGCCAACAGGCATATGAAAAATGCTCAACATCATTAATCACCATGGAAATGCAAATCAAAATCCCAACAAAGTATCATCTCACACCAGTTAGAATGAGGATTACTAAAAAGGCAAAAAAGAAAAAAAAAAAGCAGCTGCTGGTGAGGATGCCGAATAAAGGCAACTCTTACACACTCTTGGTGTGACTGTAAATTAGTACAACCAGTATGGAAAACAGTATGAAGATTTCTCAGACAGTTAAAAAGAGAGCTACTATATGACCCAACATAGTCAGTACTGAGTATCCATTCAAAGGAATGGAAACCAATGTATCAAAGAGATACCTGCACTCACAGGTTTATGATAGCATTATTCACAATAGTAAAGGTATGAAATCAAGCTTAGTGTTTACCAATGCTATTTAGCCATAAACAAGAATGAAGCCTTGTCATTTTCAGCAACATGAATCGAACTGAAGGTCATTATGTTAAGTGAAATAAACCAGACACAGAGTGACAAATAATGTATGTTCTCACTCTTATGTGGGAGGTAAAAAAACAACCTCATGGACATAGAGAATTGAATGATACTTATCAGAGACTGGGAAGGGTTAATGGAAGGAAGGGTAGATGAAGAGAGATTAGCTACGGGTACAAAAGTGCAGTTAGATAGAAGAAATAAATTGTAATGTTTGATAGCAGGTTAGGATAACTATAGTTAGCAACAGTATTATGTATATTTTAAAGTAACCAGAAGAGGGGACTTTAAATAATACAAACACAGAAAAATGATAAACACTAAAGGTGATAGATATTCCAAGTACCCTGACTTGATCATTACACATACTGTACATGTAACAAAAACTCACATGTAGCCCATAAATATGTAAAATATTATATATATATACCAATAAAAGATTTAAAAATGCAATATCTGTGAGGTACAATAAAATGAAGTGCAATAAAACTAGGTATTCCTGCAATAGTTTGGAGGTGGAAAAAATTAATGACAGAGAGACAAGTTAGAAGGCTTAAAAAAAAGACTGGGAAAAAGAAGTTAGAACTACGGCAGTGACAATGAAGGTAGACAGGGGCAAGAAGAATAATACACATTTGGGAGTGTGATTGATAAGAACTGATAACTTACTAAATATGGCGAAAGATGAAATTGTCAAAGATGACTCAGTTTTTTGCATTGAAGAGGAATAAATTGCATTGTGATGATTCCTAAAAGACGTTTTTCTCTCACTGAATGTAAACAACTTGTTAACAGGAATGTGTCATTTTGTACTTGTTACTTTCCTTATCTGTGAAACAGAAAATATTATCTACTATGAAGGTTATCTGCTATGAAGGTTAAAAAAAATGTCAAGGTAAAGTATTTCCTTTGTTGTTCAATAAAATTTAGCAATAATTATTATAATTGTCCACTTCTCTGCCTTTTCCAGTATTTTGGTCTGACAAGACTGGTTACTTTTTGGGACCAGGGCTCCTGTGTTGCAAAACTCTAGGATCATCAGTCACATCACAGTGTATAGGAGAAGTGCCCTTGTAGTTGTTCTATGCCACAGTTTGAGCCGCCAAATGCAGTGAACCTGCATAGGTCACTTCATATCATGCATCTGGCTTCAGGGCAGCAGCAGTTGCCGAGCAGGCTCCAAATGCTCTGCCCTGAGTTACTTTAGTTATATAAAATTTATTCCTGAACCCAAACACCTGGGAAGAAAATTCCTTACATATTTTTAATGCAGGCATATTCTCTTGGTACCAAAAGGCAATTTTACAACAAAATGAACACTACTACTTCTCCACAAAGTACTTTTTATCTGTGTATTATGAATCGTTATAAGGCATAGCTCTGAAATACATTGAGTGAATAAAAGAAGAGCCTTATTGAATAAAGTCTTGATTAGAAAAATGTGTAATATTATTACATATGTTTAGAATCTGATAAGAACATACTATGAGCCAGTGTCTTTTTAGTGCTACATTATTTACTGATGGTAAATTTATGGAGACATAAATTCAGATTGCTGGAACAAGATGGGGAACTCCAATTCCAGGAACCTTATCAAAATCTCTTTGCTTGATTATGTCGAGCATTTCAGAAATTATCTACTGTCATCAGTGCAGAACTTGTAAGTGAGGATGTCTTTTTAAAATTCTAATAATTTAATGATGGAATGGGCTTCCATGCATAGCTGCAAACTCCTTATACCTGGAAATATTCAAATATTATATGATATCGTCTCGGGGATGCTATAATGATGATTCGTGAATTTTAGAGTGGAATGGAGATGTCCTCTAGGTTACCTTCTAAATCCAGAATTTTATTCTTTAATTAGAGAAAGTTAAGAAATATAAAAAATGATTAATATGTCACTTCTACCTGTATTTTCTCCGTTTGTAATTTTATCTGTTTTCTAGGCTTTAAATGCTTAATAAATGCTAGTGATTCCCAGATCTGCAAGTCTAATCCTTATCTATTATCAGAACTCTAGGCTCTAAGATCCATCTTCCTATTTGACATTTCTCCTGGAATACCTACTGTATACCTTACATTTAATATGGCTAGAACAAAAGTATTGATTTCAACTCTCTTATCCTGCCCCTTTCTTTATGTGAATTATAAAAATGGAATCCTGTTTTTAAGATACGATTATTATAAGAAAAAGTATGATATACACATAGTATTAAAATAGGACACTTTTCTGCAATCTGTAAAATGTTTCCCAAACAAATGTCAAAACATGCAATGCCTAAGTTGAGAATGGTGCTTCTCTAGGGATGTGCAGGGAACAAACTGAATAACCAAAGTAGCAGGCCTTTTACTTCCATTAATTTCTCTTTCTGTGTTTCCCATCTCAATAAATGCAACTAGATTTCAATCTACTGGTAAAGTAAAAAAAAAAAAAAAAAAAACTTTGATTCCTTTTTTTTTTCTTACTCTCCATATCCAGTTTATCTGTAAATTCTGTTAATTCTACATCCAAAATATATACTAAAATTCTAGTTGCTTTCCTCCCTATTATCTCTCTAGTCTAAGCCATTATTATAGCTCTCTCTACCATATCCTGTTATGTAGTCTCTTTGCTTCTTCTCCTATAAGCCACTCTCCATAGAGCAACAAGAAATAAATTTAAAACAAAATAATCATAAATCAGATCATTTCATGCCCAAGCTTACCAGGCCTGTATCCAAAAGAAATCTTTTCTTCTACCTTCTTAGCTTTATACTTTGGAGCCTACAAAGTAAGCTGACAAAAGACAGACCAGCAAGAGAAAAAACAGGTTTAATCCTGTACTATGTATGAGATTTCACAGAAAAATGTGACTCAAGGAAGCATTTAGAATTTGGGGCTTTTCATACCACCTTAATAGGAAAAGTGGAAGGAGAGAAGGGCATTTACAGAAAAATAAATGACTTCTTAATAGGTGAAATAGGGAAGGTATAGTGCACTTGTGGAAAAACAATTTTTAGGAAAAAAAAGGGGTCTTAGGAGAATAGATGGAAAATATGACCGTTTTATCATATCTGTTTGGGTGTGATGTAAAGTTATATAAAATTCTGAATAACTCATCTCTGGTGATAAGTCAGTCTTCCTTGGTTGCCGCAAGGGAGGAGATTTATGACAATTGGGTTCTTTTGCATTCTTTTGGGAGGCTCTGCTTTTAGACAGATCAAAATTTTTATGCATTCACCTTTCTTAAGCTCAAGATAATTTTATGCTACACTGGTCTACTTTGGACTTCTTTGCCTGCTACATCATAATCTACATGGGGAAACATTCATAGAAATATTAGGTGAATTGTATCCCTAGGAATTGTGTAACACAATGGCCATTTAAATCCTTTGTTTTCTTCCCTTTATTATGGAATAAAAACCAAATTACATACCTTGGCCCCATGATCTGGCCTCTGTCTTCTTCTACAACTTCATCTTGAACCACTTTTCCATTAACCCCTTTGCTTTAGGAATACCAATGCTCTTTTTTAAAAAATATACTATCTAAGTTCCCATATTATACTCTTTGAACTACCTGTTCCCACTTTCTGGACTGGTCGTCTCCGTGATGTCACACTGCTGGACCTCAGTATCGTTTAGATTTTAGATACATATCACCTCCTCAAATGGTCCTTCACTAACTCTTAGGGTTCCATTCACTCTATTGTATCATTTACCATCATTTTTTACACATAAGTTGTTTCTGTTTAATTTTTAATATTTATTTCTTATTTGTTTCTCACTGCTTGATCTCTTGTACAAGTGTCAGCTACTGAAAACCAATAACCAGCACCTAGAACAGTAACTGATACACAGTAGGAACATCATAGCTATTTATACAACAAGAAGATAATGCAATGAAGTTCATTTATTAGAGTCTTACGTTCAATTAATAGGTTTTTGAAATCCCTCCCTTTTGGTCATTTCATCTAATGTCTTCTTTCCCCTACCTTTTTTATTTACTATTCTTATATATATTTTTTCACCTCCAACAATCTGTTACTATTTCTTATTGTCTCTTTCACCTCTGTACCTTACCCTTCCCTTTCTCTTGCTCTCCACCCTTAACTAGTAATGCCTGTATTATATTTTTAATGTATGTTGGTCTCTTTAAACCAAGTTTAGTATGAGACTAGTATTCAGGGCTTTCTTTCTTTCTTTTTTTTTTTGAAACGGAGTCTTGCTCTGTGGCCCAGGCTGGAGGTAATCTCAGCTCACTGTAAGCTCCGCCTCTGGGGTTCACGCCATTCTCCTGCCTCAGCCTCCCAAGTAGCTGGGACTACGGCACCCACCACCACGCTCGCCTAATTTTTTGTATTTTTAGTAGAGACAGGGTTTCACCGTGTTAGCCAGGGTGGTCTCCATCTCCTGACCTCATGATCTGCCCTCCTCGGCCTCCCAAAATACTGGGATTACAGGTGTGAGGCACCGCGCCCAGCCATATTCAGGGCCTCCTGTGCTTAAAACACTGCTTCTACAGATTTGGGAGATGTAATGATGAATAAAATACAAGTCCTGCCCTTAGTAGTTAGTATCTAATAGAAGAGGCAAACTATAAATACAGTAAGTGAGCTTTAAAGAGAAAAATGGTGTGGAAAAATTACTGAGTGTGGGCTGAATGTAACTAACTTATGAAAGCTGAAACACTGTTGTTAAAAGTCTGCTTTTTGAAATATTTTATATTATTGGTATGGTTGTTCTCTGGGCATGACATAGCAAGTTGAGTGAAAGAGAAATAGGAAGTGGGACTCCATTCCGGACCAGACTGAGAAACAGGGAAGAATCCGAAGCACCTCTCCATAAGACATGCCCACCAGAGTTATGAGAGTTTACCCTTCCCTGGCAATGACCCAGAAGTTACCACCCCTTTTCTAGACATTTCTGAATAACCTACACCTTAATTTTCATGTAATTAAAATTGATATAAAAGCTGCTTCAGAACTGCCCTGAACTGCTACTCTAGATAAACTGCTTGTGAGGTAGTCCTGCTCTGCAGGAGGAGTCATGGAGCTCTAACACTGCTACTTCAATAAAGCTGTTTCCTTCTACCACCAGCTCACCCTTGAATTCCTTCTTGGAAGAAGCCAAGAACCAATTATTTTTAAAAGGTTTTTCCAGAATACACCACCATTTCTTTAAGATCTGAAGACAAGGAATGGTGATTCGATAGTAAAAATTATCTCTTACTGGGATCATGGGTTATGTACATATTTGGTTGTGATGCCCGGGCAATCCTTACATTATGGCGTGTCCCTTTTTGTTATCTTACAACCAAAGATCTTGAGAGAAACTAAGAAAATTGTTTCTTTGAAGTCAGCTTCACTATGTGGCTTTATTACGTGAGTTGAGGTAGAATAATACAGTAAAGTAATAATGTGTTTCTCAAAATAGAAAGTTCTTCATTAATTTTATAATTACTAGAGCAGGTATTTCTTTGAAGAAGCTGACCTACCAATTATACATTAACTTTTTTGGTAGATTAATCATTATTTTCCTCATGATTTTAGATTTTCTTCTTTGCTTTTCATAAAAAAGCAGCTGCAGTGTGTGGCTAATTTTTCTTTGAGCAAAAAGAAAATGTCTCCAGCTCAATAGGTGTTTAATGTCAGATATGATTTTTTTATTTTGTAATTTAAAACGGTTTTTGCAGGTTTAGCTTCATCAGGCAGGGAAGATATGACAAGTTTTTGAATTTAGCCTCATTCTTGAAGATAAAATAAAATTTATTTTATTCAGTGTTTGATGTTTACCCTGCTACATACACTCTGCCAGTCTAGATTGAGTGCTAAAAGAAAATATAAAACCTTTTTGCATGCAGATCTATTTGAAGGCTCCCTGGAGATAAGGCTGTTTTAGTTTTTTTTTTAGATGATATCATCTTGTCACAATGACAAAGCAACCGGGAAACTACAAACTTAGAGTGTTATTTTTATTTGTTTTAAAAACACAGCTATGACCCTCATGTCTTCAGTCATCTGTTCCTAATGTAATTTTTAAAATTAAACGTTAATATAAATGAAATAGCTAAAAATTGACATTACCCTAACAAAAGAAACAAAGTTAAATGACTTGTTTCTGTAGAACAAATACTTTACTTTCTCTTGAACCTGCAAATTAGAAGAAAATTAAATATTCCACATATTTTTTGAAGATTAGATATATCTAAATATAAAAGTTCAGAGATTTTACTGTTTTTCATAAATAACTGTTCCTGTGCACATGTGGAGTAGACATTCACCTAAATGGTGTAGATAAAGGAACACCACGCAAGTATAGTCACACATCACTTAATAGTGGGGATACTTTCTGGGAAATGTGTCATTAGAGAATTTTCTCATTGTGTGAACATTATAGAGCGTACTTATACAAACCTAGATGGTATAGCCTACTACACCCCTAGGCTCGCTGGTATAGCCTAAGGCTCCTAGGCTATAAACATATACAGCATGCTACTGTACTAAATACTGTAGGTCATGGTAACACAATGGTATGTATTTGTATCTAAATATAGAATGGGTCCAGTGATTAGTCCAGTCATTTCTCTGCATTAAATAAAAGTAGGTGCACTGTCTCTAGAAAGTCACTATCTAAATTACATTGTTACCTGGCAGGGTATGATTTCTTTGTCATTGCTCTAGGACATTAACATGAGCTGGATTTTTGTTTTATTTTATTTTAACCTAAAGTAAGACATTCTTACCTCTGCAGGATCAAAGAGTCTCGCTTGGAGGAGAAAACAATAGTAGAGGGAAATTTAGATGAGGGTCATAAAAAGTTTTCAAATTAAAATTTAGTGTCCAGAATATAGCACTGGGGAAAGTAGCACATCTCCGTAGTAAAGACAACTTCTGGTGTGCCCTGCCTCTCTTAAAGTGGAAAAGAAGCTCATGTAACCAGGTATGAGAATGAAGGTCAAAAGTGAGAAAGGACAGTATCAAATCCTACATAAATCAGTCTCAGAGAATGTTGACTTGAGTGAACATCAACATGAGATAATGTTTAAGAAAAGGCAGAAGAAATAGGTATGTATATGGACTAGAATATTGTGGTAGGGGGAGTGGCATCTAAAGGGCAAGAAGTGTAAGGGCAAACTTTCCTAATTTCCTTAGGTTTATTGCTGCATCCACAGTCTATAGGTGAATAATGAGGATATGTTGATTTCAACCTTCCTGAGGGCAGAAGCTATAGTGTAGGTCTATAGAATCTTCCATAAAACCTTGAATAGCTCTAGGCATAATGATGGCTTATTAATTAATTGTACAAAATAAAGTTATACTTAGGAGACCCATCAGTTTGTTAGTAGGGCAGAAATACATGTTTCTCTCTTTTTTCATTATACTTGCTAGACTATTTTTAGAGCAGCTTTAGATTTATAGAAAAATGAAGCAGAGAGTATCTGTATACCTCCCCATTCCCTGACTTGCACAATTCCATTATTGATATTTTACATTAGTATGGCACATTTTTTGATTAATGAATTAACTACATTCCATATTTTATTCAGATTTCCTTAGTGTTTACCTAATGGCCTTTTTGTACTTCAAGATTCCATTCAGGATACCACATTAGCTTTGATTGTCATGTATCCTTAGGTTACTCTTGGCTTTAACGTTGTCTCAGACTTTATTTTTTATTACTTTGATAGGAGCACTGGTAACAGACTCTCTTCTTTTTTTTGAGAGAGTCTCGCTCTGTCGCCCAGGCTGGAGTGCAGTAGTGCGGTCTCGGCTCACTTCAAGCTCCGCCTCCCGGGTTCACGCCATTCTCCTGCCTCAGCCTCCCTCATAGCTGGGACTACAGGCGCCCGCCACCACGCCCGGCTAATTTTTTTGTATTTTTTTTAGTAGAGACGGGGTTTCACCTTGTTAGCCAGGATGGTCTGGATATCCTGACCTCGTGATCCACCCGTCTCTGCCTCCCAAAGTGCTGGGATTACAGGCGTGAGCCACCGCGCCCGGCCCAGACTCTCTTCTTGATAAAACTTCAGTCAGGCTCTGCTGAGCTTTCTTCTGGACTAGGCCTCAACCTTGGCCCCCATCCTGGCCAGGCTTGCATAGCCTAGTTTTAGCAAAAATACTCCTAAGTTGGTTTGGAAATATTTCCCACTCTTGATATTTATCACACTGCCCAACATTCAGCAATAATCTTAAATTGGTTTAGCAAAAAATATCTTTTTTCCTATTGTCTTTTGTGGTATTTTTTCATCCTTTGACCCCTTAACTGTTCACTGGCTATAACTTCCCACATATCTAAGCTATATGCAGAGCTGAAATCAATCCCTCTCCCTTACCGTGATGATCTTAACACCTATTGCAATAGTCCCGAATACATTCTTCCTTATGGTTTTAAAAAGTGTCGTAGTTAACTTATTTGGCTAATAGATGCCAGATAGCTGGTAAACATTATTTCTGGCCATGTCTATAAAGGTATTTCTGGAAGACATTATCATTTGAATCAGTACACTATGTAAAAAAAAAAAAAAAAAAAGATTACCCTCACCAATGTGAGCAGGCCTCATTCAATTCAGTGAGGGCCTACAAAGAACAACAACAACAAAAAAAATGGAGATAGGTCAAATTTACTGTTCAGGAGCTGGGATATCCATCTTCTTCTGCCTATGGATATCAGTGCCCTGGTTCTCAGGTATTCCCACTCAGACTGAAGGTACACTATGAGCTCTCTTGGTTTTCAGGCCTTTGGACTTGAATTGGAACTATACCACTGGCTTTCCTAGGCCTCCAGACTGCAGATGGCAGATCACAGGACTTCTTATCCCCCATAAACACATGACCCATTCTTTCAGAATAAATCTCTTTCTACACATCTCTCTTTATATCCTATTGGATCTGCGTCTCTGGAGAACTCTAGTACAAATATTTGCATATATTTTTCCTTACCACTGGTCAGGATGTTCCCCTATTAGAATATGCCTGATGTTTTATTCCCCATGATTCTATTTTCATGATTAGATTGATGATACGGGTTTAGGAGAGAAAGATCACAAAGTGGAATTTTTCTTATATTAGATCTAGGTATATACTTGATTTATGAGTAATTATGTTGATCTTGATTATCTAGCTGAAGTATTAGTTTTAAGGTTTCTCCACTTTACAAGTAATTTTATTTCCTTAAGATATAGTACACTCTAGAGGAAAGTAACTATATGCAGTCCACTTTTAAGGAATGGGAAGTTATCTTCCACTTCCTTTAGAGTGCAGTGTTTACATAAATCATCTGGATTCCAAGATGGAAGATTTACCTCTTTCCCCAAATTTTAATTTATTCAATAATTCATTTATTTCTGTTTGAACTCATAGGTATTTATTTTAGACTTTGTATTATACTACAGTACTATTTTAGTTATTCTATTGATTAAATTGTGCCAGGTTTGGCTACTTAGAGCTTTGTCATTTGACTTCTGTATCCCTTTGACATAACTCCATCAATGTTACCTTGTTTTTGAACACGCCCATATTTTCTGGCACTACTAGAATCTTCAGGCTCATCTTCTATATTTCCTACTGCAATCCTAGTATCAGCCATTTCTCAAAGAAGTCCTGCATCTTTTGAAGAGAGAATGGAACCAAGAGCTAGGCCCTAGCTGTCTTGTTGCTACTAGGATTATATCTTTTAGGCACTCTGCTGACAGAGCAAAGAACTATTTATGTGTATACTAACCTATTTATATACACATATGTATAAATATGTCTCTATTTTACCATCTGTCTCTACATTTAGTTAAACATGTTTATTTCCTGATGCATCCAACTCTAATGCATTACCATATGGATTATTTCAGCCTGTTCTTGTTTTCCTATAACTTTCCAGTACAAAAGCACAACCTGACTCCCACCATCTGCTACACATTTATGTAACTGTTCAATTTTAATATACATATATAGCAGTATCAGAATTGTTGACTGACACCCTGATATGGTTTTAATGTGTTCTCACCAAATCTCATGTTAAATTGTAATCTCCAATGTTGGAGGTGGGCCTGGTTGGAGGCGATTACATCATGGGAGCAGGTTTCTTGTGAATGGTTTAGCATCATCCACCTTGGTATTGTCTTGGTATAGTGAGTTCTCATGACATCTGCTGGTATAAAGTGTGTAGCACCTCCCCCTTCTCTCTCTTGCTCCTGCTCCCACCATGTAGGATGCCTCATACCCCCTTCACATTCTGTTTATGATTGTAAGTTCCCTGAAGCTTCCCCAGAAGCTGATGTTGCTATGCTTCTTGTATAGCCTGCAAAACCATGAGCCAACTAAACCTCTTTTCCTTATAAATTACCCAGTCTCAGGTATTTCTTTATAGCAATGTGAGGAAAAAACTGATACAGAATATTGGTACCAAGAGTGGTATATTACTATAAAGGTAGCTAAAAATGTGGAAGCTACTTTGGAACTGGGTAACAGGTAGAGGTTGAAAGAGTGTGTAGAGCTCAGAAGAAGACAGGAAGATGAGGGAAAGTTTGGAACTTCCTAGAGACTTGTCGAATGGCTTTGACCAAAATGCTGATAGTGATAGGGGCAATAAAGACCACGCTGAGGTGGTCTCAGATGAAGATGAGAAACTTATTGGGAACTGGAGCAAAGGTCACATTTGTTATGCTTTAGCAAAGAACATGGAGGCATTGTGCCCCTTGCCCTAGGGATTTGTGGAACTTGTGAGTGATGATTTAGAGTATCTGGTGGAAGAAATTTCTTAGTAGCAAAGTGGTCAAGATGTTCTCTGGCTGATTCTATCAGCCTATGTTCATATGCATGAACAAAGAAATGACCTGAAACTGGAACTTATATTTAAAAGGGAAGCAGAGTGTAAGTTTAAAAAATTTTCAGCTTGGACGTGTAGTAGAAAAGAAAAACTCATTTTCAGGGAAGCATTTCAGGCAGGCTTCAGAAATTCATATATGTCAAATGGAGGCCAGTGCTGATAGCCAAGACAAAAAAAAAAAGGCCTTCATGGCATTTTAGAGATCTTCATGGCAGCCTCTCCCATCACAAGCCCCAGGGTCTAGGAGAAAATAATGGTTTTGTAGACCAGGCCGTGGGCCCTGCTACCCTGCACAGTCTCAGGACACTGATCCCTGCATCCTAGTCACTCCAGCTCCAGCTGTGCCTCAAAGGGGCCAAGGTACAGCTCAAGATACTACTTCAGAGGGTGCAAGCCATAATCCTTGGCAGCTTCCAAGTGGTGTTAATCCTGTGGTGCACAGAGTGCAAGAGTTGAGGCTTGGGAGCCTCTGCCTAGATTTCAGAACATGTATTGAAAAGCCTGGATGTCCAGGCAGAATCCTGTTGCAGGGGCAGGGCCCTCATGGAGAACATCTACTAGGAAATTGTTGAGGGGAAATGTGGGGTTGGAGTTCCCACACAGAGTTTCTACTTGGGCACTCCCTAGTGGAGCTGTGAGAAAAGGGTCACCATCTTCCAGAACCCAGAATGGTAGAGCCACTGAAAGGTGCACCATGCACCTGGAAAAGCCACAGGAATTCAACACCAGCCCATGAGAGCAGCCGTGGGGAATGAACCCTGAAAATCCAAGGGAGCAGACCTGTCCAAGACTGTGGGAGCCAACCCCTTGCATCAGAGTGGCCTGGACATGAAACTTGGATTCAAAGGAGATAATTTTGGAACTTTAAAATTTAACAGCTGCCCTGCTGGGTTTTGGACTTGCATAGGGCCTGAAGTCCCCCCCACCTTTTTTTTGGCTGATTTCTCATTTTTTGAATGAAAGTATTTACCTTGTGCCTATACCTCCATTGTATCTTGGAAGTAACTAACATTTTTTTATTGTACAAGCTCATAGGTGGAAGGGACTTCTAACCTTGTCTTAAATGAGAACTTGGACTTTAGAATTTTGAGTTAGTTCTGGAGTGAGTTAAGACTTTGGGAGACTGTTGGGAAGGCATGAGTGTAGTTTACAATCTGAGAAGGAAACAAGATTTGGAGGGCAAAAGGCAGAACATTATGGTTTGAATCAGTGTCCCTACCAAATATTATATTGAATTGTAATCCCCATTGTTGGAGGAGGGACTGGTGGGAGGTGATTAGAACATGGGGGCAGATTTCTCAAGAATGGCTTAGCACCATCCCCCTTAGTATTGTCTTAGTGATACTGAGTGAGTTATCCTGATATCTGGCTGTTTAAAAGTATGTAGCACCCCCTACTCCTTGCTCCTGCTCCCATGATGTGAGATGCCTTGCTTACCCTTTGCCTTCCACCATGGTTGTAAGTTCCCTGAGGCCTCCCCAGAAGCTGATTTTGCTATGCTTTCTGTACAGCCTGCAGAACCATGAACAAACTAAACTATATATATATATATATATATATACACACACACATATATATATATAATTGTATATATAATTGTAAGGTCTCTGATATATGTTATATATATACACATATATATTATATATATAAATACACACACACACACACACACATATATATATATACACCTATTACCCAGTGGCAGGTATTTCTTTTTAGCAATGTGAGAATGGACTAATACACAATCCTATGACTATTAACATGGTTAACAAGAGTACAGTGCTTACGGGCAAGTCCTTTTTCTTATTTAGCTTTGCATTCTCTATTCATTTTCTAAGTAACTTAGGTCAGTACCTTATTCCTCTACCCTCTTCAATGAGGCTGTTTCAGACATTGATAATACAGTTAGATCTTGTTACAGTCTGCATTCTTTCCCGGATCTTCTGACCCTCTTAATTATTTTTATATATGCATACATTTAAGGTTTACTCTATATAGTATAAAGTTCAATGGGTTTGACAAAGACATAATGGCATGTGTCCACTATTACAGTATCACACTAATTAATTTAACTGCTCTAAAATTTTGCTTTTTTCCACCTTTACCTTCTCTACCTTCCTCACAAAACCCCTGCCAACCATAAACGTTTTTACTGTCTTTATAGTTTTGCTTTTTAAAAAATGTCACATAATTGGAATTTTAAAGTATACAGCATTTTCAGACTGACTTATTTTATACTATACTATCCTTTTAAGATCTATTCATGTCTTTTGGTTGCTTTATAGTTAATTTATTTTATTTTTTGCCAAATAATACTTCAACCTATAGATGTATTATAGTCTGTTTATGCATTCATATCTTGAAGAAAATATTGTTTGTTTCTCATTTTTGGCAATTATATATGAAGCTTCTATAAACATTTTTTGCACATTTTTGTAAGGACATAAGTTTTCAACTCAGTTGCATAAATATCTAAGAGCACAATTGCTAGATCATGTGGTGTAATTATCTTTAGACTATTAAGAAACTGCCACGATGTCTTCCAAACTAGCTGAACCATTTTGCATTCCCACCAGCAATTATTAAGAATTCCCAGTGGGCAAAGGATATGAACAGACACTTCTCAAAGGAAGTCATTTATGCAACCAACATACATATGCAAAAATGCTCATCATCACTGGTCATTAGAGCAATGCAAATCAAAACCACAATGAGATACCACCTCATGCCAGTTAGAATGGCGATCATTAAAAAGTCAGGAAACAACAGATGTTGGAGAGGATGTAGAGAAATACGAACACTTTCACACTGTTGGTGGGAGTGTAAATTAATTCCACCATTGTGGAAGACAGTGTGGTGATTCCTCAAGGATCTAGAACTAGAAATACCATTTGACCCAGCAATCTCATTACTGGGTATATACCCAAAGGATTATAAATCATTCTACGATAAAGACACATGCACACATATGTTCATTGCAGCACTATTCACAATAGCAAAGACTTGGAACCAGCCCAAATATCCATCAATGATAGACTGGATTAAGAAAATATGGCACATATACACCATGGACCATGGAATACTATGCAGCCATAAAAAAGGATGAGTTCATGTCCTTTGCAGGGACATGGGTGAAGCTGGAAACCATCATTCTCAACAAACTAACACAAGGACAGAAAACCAAACACCACATGTTCTCACTCTTAAATTGGAGTTGAACAATGAGAACACATGGACACAGGGCGGGGAACATCACACACCAGGGCCTGTCAGGGGGTAGGCGGCTGGGGGAAGGATAGCATTAGGATAAATACCTAATGTAAATGATGAGTTGATGTGTGCAGCAAACCACCATGGCACATGTATACCTATGTAACAAACCTGCACGTTGTGCACATTGTACCCTAGAACTTAAAGTATAATTTAAAAAAAAAAGAAAACAAAAGGAATTCCCATTGCTCCATATTTGTTTTAGTCTATTTGTGGAACTACAACAAAATACCTGAGACTGGGTAAGTAATTTATAAATAATAATGTATTTTCTCACAGTTCTGAAGGCTAAGTCCAAAATCAAGGCACTGGCAGGTTAGGTGTCTGGAAAGGGCCCTTGTCTCTGCATCTGTTATAGTGCCTTG
This sequence comes from Homo sapiens, assembly GCF_000001405.40. Lineage (NCBI taxonomy): Eukaryota > Metazoa > Chordata > Mammalia > Primates > Hominidae > Homo > Homo sapiens. The sequence continues at coordinate 6,578,894 of NC_000024.10, forward strand.
TACAGTGTGTTTTCACAAGGCAGAAGGTATGGCTGGGCAAAAAAAAGGGGCCACACTGTCTATGTGAAGTCTATTTTAAAGAACACTAATCCCATCTGTGAAGGCAGATCCCTCATGGCCTAATAACATCCTAAAGGCCCCACCTTTTAATACTGTTACACTGGAAATTAAGTTTCAACATGAATCTTGAGGGATACAAACTTTCAAACCATAGCAACATCCTTGCCAACATTTTGTATAGTCAGTTTTATAATTTTAGCTATTTTAATAAGTGTATAGTGGTATCCCATTCTTTTAATTTGCAATTACCTAATTACATATGACTTGAACATCTTTTCACTTGCTTATTTACCATCTTCTTTCATGGCATGTTTGCACAGTATTTTGCCTATTTACTAATTGAGTTGCTTGTTTCTTATTGTTCAGTTACAAGAATTCTTTGTATATTTTTGGCACATGTCCTTTATTAGATATATTGTTTTTCTAGTATTTAACTTCTCCTTTCAATGTCTGAAGAGCATAAATTATGCAGCAGATATTTTAAATTTTAATAAAGTCTAGTTTATCAATTTTTCTTTCATGAATTCTGCTTTTGGTGTTGTAGCTAAAAAAATCATCCAAAACCAAAGGCCATCTATATTTTCTCTTGTTTTATTCTATCAGTTTTATAGTTTTGCATTTTACCTTTAGGTCTGACTCATTTTGAGTAAATTTTTGTGAAAGGCATAAAGACTGTGCCTAAATTACTTTTTTTTCTTACATAATGTATTTCCAATTATTCCAGGACCATTTGTTGACAAATTATTCTCTCTCCATTAAATTTCCTTTGTTTTTTCTTTGTTTTTTTTTTTTTTTTGACAAAGACCCATTGACTATATTTCTATGGGTGTATTTCTGAATTCTCTATTATGTCCCATTAATCTATATGCCTATTCTTTTACCAATGAAATGTCTCAATTACAGTATCTTTATACTGTGCCTGAAGTTAGGTATGTCATACCTGCAAATTTTTTTTCTTTTTCTTCAGGATTTTGTTGGCTATTAAGAGTCCTGGCTGGGCACCGTGGCTCACACCTCTAATCCCAGCACTTTGTGAGTCTGAGGTGGGTGGATCACCTGAGGTTAGGAGTTTGAGACCAACCTGGCCAACATCGTGAAGCCTCAACTCTACTAAAAATACAAAAATTAGCCGGGCATGGCCACACACACCTGTAGTCCCAGCTACTCAGGAGGCTGAGGCAGGAAAGTCACTTGAACCCAGGAAGCAGAAGTTGCAGTGAGCCATGATTGAGCCACTGCACTCCAGCCAGGGCAACGGAGCAAGACTCCATCTCCAAAACAAACAAACAAAAGAGTCCTTTGCCATCTCGTAAAAACTTTAATATTAATTTTTCAAAAACCACAAAATATCTTCCTGAAATTTTGTTTCACGTTGTTGTCAATTTGGGAAAAATTCACATCTTAACAATGTTGAGTTTTCTAATCCATAAATATGAAATATCTCTTCATTTATTTATATCTGTGATTTTTTTCATTAGAGTTTTGTCGTTTTCTGTGTACAAGTACTATACATATTTTATTAAATATACACCTAGGTGTTTTTGCATTGTTTTTAAGTTATAAAGCTAATTATATTTTTTACATATAATTCCAAGTGTTCATTTCTGTTAAAAAAATTACATTTTTTTGTTTTGTTTTTCAAATTTTATTTTAGATTCAGGTGGTACACAAAAGGTTTTGTTACCTTGGTATATTACGTCATGCTGAGAGGTTTACGGTATGAAAGATCCTATCACCCAGGCACTGAGAAGACTACCCAACAGTTTTTCAACCATTGTCCCTTGCAGTAGTCCCCAGTGTCTATTGTTGCCATCTTAATGCTCATGAGTACCCAATGTTTAGCCTCACCTGTGTGTGAGATAATGCGGTATTTGATTTTCTGTTCTTGTGCTAATTAGCTTATGATAATGGCCTCCAGCTGCATCCATGTCCATCATTTTTACGGCTATATTGTATTCCATGGTGTATATGTACCACATTTTCTTTATCCAATCCACTGTTAGAGGACACCTAGGTTGATCACATGTCTTTGCTATTGTGAATAATGCTGTGATAAACATACACTTGCATGTGTCTTTTTGATAGAATTATTTGTTTTCTTTTGGATATATATCCAGTAATGGGATTGCTGGGTCAAACTGTAGCAAGTTCTTTGACAAATCTCCATACTGTTCTCCAAAGAGTCTGAACTAATATACATTCCCACAAATGATGTGTGTAATGGTTAATATTAGGTATCAACTTGACTAGATTGAAGAATTCCTAGATAGCTGGTAAGGTATTGCTTCTGGGTGTGTCTGTGGGGATGTTGCCAGAGGAGACTGACATATGAGTAAGTGGACTGGGAGAGGAAGACTCACCCAAAATGTGGTGGTCACCATCCAATAGGCTGCCAGCATGACGAGAAAAGAGTGGGCAGAAGAAAGTGGAATGTAAATTGGCTTTCTGAGTCTTCTGGCTTTCATCTTTCTCCTGTGCTGTATGCTTACTTCTGTTTCTCCTTCCCTCAGACGTCAGACTCCAGATTCTTCAGCCTTTGTACTCTTGGACTTACACCAGTGGTTTGCCCGGAACTCTTGGGCCTTCAACCCCAAACTAAAGGCTGCACTGTCAGCTTCTCTGCTTTTGAGGCTTTTGATCTTGGACTGAGCCACTACTGGGTTCTTTCTTCTGCAGATTGCAGATGGCCTTTCTGGAACTTCACCTTGTGATCATATGAACCAATTCTCCCTAATAAACTCCCTTTCTTTTTATTTTTATTATTATACTTTAAGTTCTAGGGTACATGTGCACAATGTGCACGTTTGTTATATATGTATACATGTGCCATGTTGGTGTGCTGCACCCATTAGCTGGTCATTTACATTAGGTATACCTCCTAATGCTTTCCCTCCCCCCTCCCCCCACCCCACAACAGGCCCCATTGTGTGATGTTCCCCTCCCTGTGTCCAAGTGTTCTCATTGTTCAATTCCCACCTATGAGAACATATGGTGTTTGGTTTTCTGCCCTTGCAATAGTTTGCTAAGAGTGATGGTTTCCAGCTTCGTCCATGTCCCTACAAAGGACATGAACTCATCGTTTTTTATGGCTGCATAGTATTCCATAGTGTATATGTGCCACATTTTCTTAATCCAGTCTATCATTGATGGGCATTTAGGTTGGTTCCAAGTCTTTGCTATTGTGAATAGTGCTGCAATAAACATACATGTGCATGTGTCTTTATAGCAGCATGATTTATAATCCTTTGGGTATATACCCAGTAATGGGATGGCTGGGTCAAATGGTATTTCTAGTTCTAGATCCCTGAGGAATCACCACACTGACTTCCACAATGGTTGAACTAGTTTACACTCCCACCAACAGTGTAAAAGTGTTCCTATTTCTTCACATCCTCTCCAGCACCTGTTGTTTCCTAACTTTTTAATGATTGCCATTCTAACTGGTGTGAGATGGTATCCCATTGTGGTTTTAATTTGCATTTCTCTGATGGCCAGTGATGATGAGCATTTTTTCATGTGTCTGTTGGCATAAATGTCTTCTTTTGAGAAGTGTCTGTTCATATCCTTTGCCCACTTTGTGATGGGGTTGATTTTTTCTTGTAAATTTGTTTGTGTTCTTTGTAGATTCTGGATATTATCCCTTTGTCAGATGAGTAGATTGCAAACATTTTCTCCCATTCTGTAGGTTGCCTGACCACTCTGATGGTAGTTTCTTTTGCTGTGCAGAAGCTCTTTGGTTTAATTAGATCCCATTTGTCAATTTTGGTTTTTGTTGCCATTGCTTTTGGTGTTTTAGACATGAAGTCCTTGCCCATGCCTATGTCCTGAATGGTAATGCCTAGGTTTTCTTCTAGAATTTTTATAGTTTTAGGTCTGATATTTAAGTCTTTAATCCATCTTGAATTAATTTTTGTATAAGGTGTAAGAAAGGGATCCAGTTTCAGCTTTCTACATATGGCTAGTCAGTTTTCTCAGCACCATTTATTAAATAGGGAATCCTTTCCCCATTTCTTGTTTTTGTCAGGTTTGTCAAAGATCAGATGGTTGTAGATGTGTGGTATTATTTCTGAGGGTTCTGTTCTGTTCCATTGGTCTATCTCTCTGTTTTGGTACCAGTACCATGCTGTTTTGGTTACTGTAACCTTATAGTATAGTTTGAAGTCAGGTAGTGTGATGCCTCCAGCTTTGTTCTTTTGGTTTAGGATTGTCTTGGCAATGCGGGCTCTTTTTTGGTTCCATATGAACTTTAGAGTAGTTTTTTCCAATTCTGTGAAGAAAGTCCTTGGTAGCTTGATGGGGATGGCATTGAATCTATAAATTACCTTGGGCATTATGGCCATTTTCAAGATATTGGTTCTTCCTATCCATGAGCATGGAATGTTTTTCCATTTGTTTGTGTCCTCTTTTATTTCATTGAGCAGTGTTTTGTAGTTCTCCTTGAATAGGCCCTTCACATCCCCTGTAAGTTGGATTCCTAGGTATTTTATTCTCTTTGAAGCAATTGTGAATGCGAGTTCACTCATGATTTGGCTCTCTGTTTTTCTGTTATTGTATAGGAATGCTTGTGATTTTTGCACATTGATTTTGTACCCTCAGACAATATCATACTGAATGGGCAAAAACTGGAAGCATTCCCTTTGAAAACTGGCACAAGACAGGGATGCCCTCTCTCACCACACCTATTCAACATAGTGTTGGAAGTTCTGGCCAGGACAATCAGGCAGGAGAAAGAAATAAAGGGTATTCAATTAGGAAAAGAGGAAGTCAAATTGTCCCTGTTTGCAGATGACATAATTGTATATTTAGAAAACCCCATCATCTCAGCCCAAAATCTCCTTAAGCTGATAAGCAACATAAACTCCCTTTCATATATACATATATCCTATTAGTTCTGTCCCTCTAGAGAACCCTAACGAATACAGTGTGTAAGCATTCCCTTTCTCAGCAGCCTCACCAACAACTGTTTTTTTTTTTTTTTTTATTTTTAATAAGAGACATTCTGACTGGTGTTTAAAAGTACCTTATTGTTGTTATGATTTGTATTTCTCTGATGATTAGTGATGTTGACCATTCATTTATATGTGTGTTGACCACTTGTATGTCTTCTTTTGAGAAGTTTCTCTTTATGTCTTTTATCCATTTTTTAATGGGGTTATTTATTCTTTGCCTGTTCAATTGTTTAAGTTACTTATAGACTTTGGATATTAGACCTTTGTCAGATGCATAGTTTGTAAATATTTTCTCCCATTCTGTAGGTTGTCTCTTTACTCTGTTTATAGTTTCTTTTGCTGTGCGTAAGCTCTTTAATTAGGTTCTACTTGTCCATTTTTTGGTTTTGTTGCATTTGCTTTTGAGGACTTAGTCATAAATTCTTTCCCAAGACTGATATCCAGAATGGTGTTTCCTAGGTTTTGCTTTAGGATTCTTATACTTTGAGGTATTACATTTAAATCTTTCATGCATCTTGAGTTTATTTTTGTATGTGGTGAATTGTAGGAGTCCAGTTTAATTCTTTTGCATATGCCTTGTAGCTATCCCAGCCCTATTTATTGAACAAGGAGTCCTTTCCTCATTGATTATTTTTATTGACTGCTGAAGATGAGATAAATGTAGGTGTGAAGCTTTATTTATGGGTTATATATTATCTTCCATTGTTCTAGGTGTCTGCTTTGTACCAGAACCATGGTATTTTGGTTACTGTTGACTTATAGTATAGTTTGAAGTTGGGTGATGTGATGCCTCTGGATTTGATCTTTTTCCACATGAATGCTTTGGCTATCTGGGCTGTTTTTTGTTTCTCTGTGAATCTTAGAATAGTTTTTACGAATTCTGTGAAAAAAAAATTATGTTGGTAGTTTGATAGGAACAGTGTTGAATCTGTAGTTGCTTTGGACAGTATGGGCATTTTAATGGCATTAATTCTTCCAATCCAGGAACATAGAAGTCTTTTCCATTTGTTTATGTCACCTATGATTTCTTTTAGCAGTGTTTTTTTTTATTTGTGTGTGTTTGTGTTTGTGTGTGTGTGGAAATTTTTAACCTTATTAGTTAGATGTATTCCTAGGCATCAAATTTTGTATATTAACAGTATATTTTGTGACAATGTTATCATTGCTTATATCTTCTTAGGAGTTATTGTCAATTATTTGTGATTAGTAGACTGACTTTACTTTGTAAAAAATATTGTTAATTTATCTCTTCTTTTTCTTGGCTAGACTTGCTAGAGGTTAAAAGATTGTACTATCTTTTCAAAAACCAGATTTGGTTTTTCCTTTTTTTCTGTATTATTTTTGCTTTTAATTTTGTTGATTATTGACTTTAAGTCATTTATTATTTTACTTTCTTTAGGCTATCTTTGTCACTTTATTATTATATGAGATGAACTTTGGTTACCGATTTCAGAGATTTGTTCTTTTCTAATTTCTGCATTTAATTCTATACATTTTCCACTCTTCACTGCCTTTGCTGCCTTCCACAAATTTTTATAAGTTGTATTTTTCTTTGATTTAGTTGACAATATATTTTTTAATTTATCTTGAGTGTTTTTCTTTGATACATTTGTTATTTAAAAGTTTAGTGCCTAATCTTGAAATATTTTAAAAGTTTTCAGCTATCTTTCTCCTATTGATTTAAATGTTAATTCCATTGTGGTCCAAGGACATACATTATATGATTTTTTTCTTTTAAATTTATTAAGATAACATGATATTAGAAAAAAAAAAGCTAGAAAGGAAACCCAAAATGTCCATCCCACCCAAAAAGCAGTGAATAAGCTAGCAAAAACAATCAGAATCAACTTTTTCAGAACCACCAAATGTAATAAAAACTTACAGAAACCAGGGGAGTGGTTATTGAAGAAAATAATAACAGCTGAGTCTTGGTAAAAGAGCTTTGTGGCATTTTTATTTACTTTGGTACCATCCTCTACTACTCATTTTGGTGATGACCTTGAAGAAAATAGACTGCATTCTTGGAAGAAATTTTTAGTACTGATTTTCTAGTAGTAGAGGGAAAAGTACTATCCCATTCTCAAAGAATTATTGTTGTTTGTTTTTATCTAGCCAACTTGGAACTTTCTCAGAGCTGGATATACTACTTGGGTTGAAATTGGTCAACAACTGTTCAAGGTGAGATTTGAGGCAGAGCAAGATGGCAGAATAGAAGGGTCCATTGATTGCCTCTCTTGCAAGGACACCAATTTAACAAATATATACACAAAATAAACGTTCATAAGAACCAAAAATCAAGTGAGCACACAGAGCACCTGTTTTTAACTTTGTATCACTGAAAGAGGCAGTGAAAAGGTAGGTAAAAAAATCTTGAATAGCGAAAACACCACCCATTCACTATCCCCTGGCAGTGGTGGCATGGTGTGGAAACATTTTAGTGCACTAGGGTGAGGGAGATCATGGCATTTGTGAGGCATTAAACTCAGTGCCGTCCTATTATAACAGAAAAAAAAAAAACCCACACCAAACTCAGCTGATGCCCACCAAGGGAGAGAGCATTTAAAACAGCCCTAACAAGAGGGGAATTACCAATACCAGAAGTGGGAACTCGAGTTCCCACATCCCTCACCACTGCTTGCTAAAGTGCCTTGGGGAGTTAAATAAACTTGAAAAGCAGTGTAGGCCACAAGGACTGAAACACCTATGGTGAGTCCTAGTACTGAACTGGGCCCAGAGACAGTGGACTGGAGGGGCATGTTACCTACTGAGACACTAGTTGGGGAGGCTAAGGGAGTGTTAGCATCACCCCTCCCAAAACCCTAGGCCGGGCTGGGTACGGTGGCTCACACCTGTAATCCCAGCACTTTGGGGGCCAAGGTGGGTGGATCGCCTGAGGTCAGGAGTTTGAGATCAGCCTAGCCAACATGGTGAAACCTCATCTCTACTAAAAATACAAAAATTAGCCGGGCATGGTGGTGGGAGCTTGTAATCCCAGCTACTCAGGAAGCTGAGGCAGGACAATCCCTTGAACTCAGGAGGAGGAGGTTGCAGTGAGCCAATATTGCACCATTCCATTCCAGCCTGGGCGACAAGAGCGAGACTTCATTTCAAAAAAGAAAAAGAAAAAAAACCCTAGGCTGCAGAACTCATGGCACCAAAAGAGTCTCCTTCTCTCCACTTGAGGAGAGAAGAGGAAAGAGGCGGGAGGACTTTGTTTGTATTTTGGATACCAGCAAAGCCACAGCAGGATAGGGCATCATCAGAGTTGTGAGGCCCCCTTTCCACGTCCTAACTCACAGACAACATTTCTAGACACACCATGGGCCAGAAGGGAACCTGCTGCCTTGAAGGGAAGGAACCAGTCCTGGCAGGATGTATCACCTGCTAACTGAAGAGCCCTTGAGCATTGAATAACCAGCAGTGATACCCACATACTATATATAGAGGGCCGTGAGTGAGACTCTGAGACTCGCTTCTTCAGGTAAGACTCAGCACTTTCCCAGCTCCAGTAGCTATGGGAAGACACTCCACCCACTTAAGAACAGCAGATAGAAAAGTAAAGCAGACTTTGCCTTGCGACTTAAGTATCAACGTGCCCACAATGGGGAAGAGCACTAGGCAGGCTCTTGAAGTCCCAAATTTTAGGACTCGGCTCTTGGAATGCATTTTTGGAACTGTCCTAGGACACAGGGGATCCCACTGCCCTGGAGGATGAGTTCCAGGCCAGGCAACAGTCACCACAAGCTGACTTAAGAGACCTTGAGTCTTAGGGGAACATCAGTGATAGTCTGGCAATTATCCCCATAGGTCTATGGTGGTGGTGGTGGTGCTGGCCATGAGATGAAGATCTTCTGCCTTTGGAAAGGGAACAGAAAAGTGGGAAGGACTGCATCTAGTGTTTTGAGTACCAGCTCAGCTGCAGTACAATAGAACACCAGGTAGACTTCTAAGGATCTTGCCTCTAGTCCCTGGCTCCCAGATGGCAACTCTGGACAGACCTGGGGTCTAAGGGAAGCTGCCACCCTGAAGTGAGGACACAGATCTGGCTGGATTTGCCATATGCTGTTTTTAGACCCCTGGTGCCTTGAGCAAACATAGGCAGTAGCCAGTGAGCGATTACAGCAGGCCTTGGATAAGATCCCATGCTATGCTTTCTTCAGATCTGACTCAACACAGTCTCACTGGTGGTGACTACTGAGGTGCTTGTGTCACACCACCTGCAGCTCCAGGTGTCTCAAAAGAGAGAGAGAGAGACTCTGTTTGTTTGGGAAAAAGTAAGGGAAGAGAACAGGAGTCTCAGCCTGGTAATCTAGATAATTCTTCCAGATCTTATCCAAAACTATCAAGATGGAAACTCTACGAGTCTGTAAGAACCACAGAGTTACTGCAATTAGGATGCCTCCTAAAGAAGAAACAGTTTAGATGCAAGGATGGTTCAACATATGCAAATCAATCTACATGATACATCTGATCAACAGAATGAAGGACAAAAACCATTTAATAATTTTGGCCGGGCATGGTGGCTCACGCCTATAATCCCAGCACTTTGGGAGGCTGAGGAGGGCAGATCACAAGGTCAGGAGTTCGAGACCAGCCTGGGCAACATGGCAAAACCCCGTCTCTTCTAAAAATACGAAAATTAGCCGAGTGTGGTGGCGCATGCCTGTAATCCCAGCTATTCGGGAGGCTGAGGCAAGAGAATCGCTTGAACCCAGGAAGCGGAGGTTGCAGTGAGCCGAGATTGTGCCACTGCACTCCAGCCCAGGCGACAGTGTGAGACTCCATCTCAGAAAAAAAACAAAAACAAAAACAAAAAAAAACCATTTAATAATTTCAACTGATGCTGAAAAAGCATTGGATAACATTCAATATCCATTTGTTATAAAAATCCTCAAAAAGCTGGGAATAGAAGAAAATACTGCAACGCAATAAAAGTTATATATTATAGACCCACAGCTAGTATCATACTGAATGGAGAAAAACTGCTACATTAAGGTGCATTGGTGAGACTGTAACAATACTAACCTGATAGTAATCACTCTCCTGAATTTTAAAACAAAGTTTGGTGTTTACTGCTTTTGAACCTTATATACATGGAATCATATTTTATTTGCTCTTTTGTTTTCTAGGGTTTTTTTTTGGTTTCACAAGCATTCTTACTCATTGTTATGCTTGCCAGATTTATCTGTGCAGCTCTGTATAGCTGTAGATGATTAATTCTTGTTACCTTGTGTGTATATTCCATTGTGAATATACTATAATTTATATATCCAAACTGCTATTGATGAGTATTTGGGTGGTTTTCCATTTGTGTTTATTATAAATAATACTACAATGAACATCATTGTATATGTTTTTTCATGAATATATATGTGCATTTTTATTGTAGGAATGGTTAGTTCTTAGGATGTACACATGTTAAGCTTTAGTAGATAATACAAAGTAGTTTAACAAAATGATTATAGCAGTTAATTCCTCCATTAGTGCTGTGTGAAAATTCCAATTGTTCCACTTACTCTTCAATGCTTCATCTTCGCTGCCTTTTTTTTTTTTTTTTTAGCCTTCTTTTTGGGATTATAATAGTATTGTATGGTAGATTTAATTTGAGTTTTCCTGATGACCAATAAAGTTAAACACCCTTTCAATATGTTTACTGGTGATGCAAATATCCTCTTTAGCTTATTTTTCTATTAAATTATCTGTTTTTTGCTTATTGATTTGTAATAGTTCTTTATATTATCCAGATATTAGTCATTTGCAATATGTGTGTTGCAAATATCTTCTCTCATTTTGTGTTTTGCTTTTTTATTTCCTTAAGGTATATTTAAGTAAAAAAAAAAAAAAACATTCAAATGTAGCTACATTTATTTAGTTTCAAGTAAGATACAGTATATGGTGAAAGGCCCAAATTCCTATTGGAACAATTGCATACATCAAATAAGGTACAAATGTCATATTTTAAAAGGCATTGAAGCAATGGGTATGATAAACAAAAAATTCAAGAGAGAGGGAAAATAATTATTCTGAGGTGAGCTGATAATTGACTCCCATATCTCCCATCCTCCATCCTCCCTCTGACAGGCATTTGCTATTTCCCATTGCAAGTTGTAGATCAGGCTTGGTCCAGGATTTTTTTTTTTTTATAATTTTATAGTAAGACAAACTCTTACTCACTTAAACAAGGAACTATGTCTAAGGGTTAAATATCAGTATAAAAATATTTGCTGTTTTTATCTTTTCTCCAAATAAATGTGAAAGTGTAATATACTAATATACCTTGACTATAACAGCAAAATACTTTATTTGAGCAAGTAATAGTGTGCCATGGTAGTGTAAGTAGGCTTTTAATAAGTTACTCTATAACATGATTATGGGAATTAGGTTACATTAATACATTTACACAATAAACTACATTTTACAGTAGTTTGAATTTGAAATCTGTAAATCTGCAACCAATATCGTCAACGTGGTCTTAGGTTCATTGTGCCTTTCTTATTATATGAAAATGTTTAATAGCACTTCAGTCTCTGAAAATTAGAGTAGACAATTGAAATTTAAGTAAATAATCCATAAAAGTACACTAAACCATAAGTTTCTACAGACACAAAATTACGGCAGAAGGTCCTATACATAAGACAGAATCTCCTACATTGGAATTGACTTTTATTTCTATTTAACAATAAAAATAAAATCATAGCTTTAAGTCTAATTAGAATTATAAACTTTTTTGCTTTCTAATTGCATTTGGAATTTACTAAGCAGTTTCTTAGTAGGGAGATTTTAAGTGAATTAAGTCATAAATTTCAAAGGTATAATGAATTTCATAAATATAAATGCAAAATGAAAATGAAGCACCATTATAGGTATTTTTAAAAATAAGAAAACTTTTTTTAATAGAATAACTTTGTCATTCTAAATAATAACTTTTAATATAACTTGATTGTGAGTCATTTGTATAAGTGCCATGTATAAACAAACACACATATTGTCATTAAAAAGCACTCTAACAATGGTACTACTGCAAATGGTAATTTCAGGAACTGGAAAACTTGTCACGACAATCAACAATTTCAACTTCTTTGTTAATTTTGATTTAATGCCATAAAAATTAGCAGAGAGTTTATAGCCCTTTTGTTATTTTTGAATAGTTACTAGCAGTTAGCAGCAAATATCTTCTTTTTTCCCACCTGCCTCACAAATTGAATATTTCACAGAACTGAACACTCTCATGAAGATTATACAAAAGTTTTTGGAGGATTGAAATTGTGTGGGACTCTTTTGAGAGTGATCAAGAGATGACATGAAAAAGTTGCATGTCTGTTCTTACTCACAGCAGTTACCATAAAAGATGGCATGAAAACTCTCCAGAGAAACAAAACCTTTTCATCCAGCTCAATGGCTTAAAAAATGTCAGGGAGTTTTCTATCTATTTCCATCCAAGTAATTCAACATAGCATATTTTAAGCATGAAAGACTAAAACAAATGGGTGAAAGTGATGTTTTCTTTGCATCTGTCTTAAAATTCAATGGATTTTAAGAATCATAAAACTGCTTTATTTTCAGACACCATTTATTCCTTCCCTGCCATGGGGGGATACTGCTATGGAACAGTGTGTACTGCTGGAAACTTTTTGATTGACAGTTAGAATCTGGTGACTTTTTAAACTCTTCAAAAGTTAAAGCAAAGCATGCGTTAAATTTTGCTTGCAAAAAGGTCAATCCCAGAGATATTTTTAAAAAATCCACAGACGTTCTTATTTAATAATTCATAATAAGCCTTTTTTTACCTTTTCCATGAATTACATTTTTAAATTTAATTTATATTTTAAATTAAATTTTAATTTAAATTTTAAATTGACATTGAAATTTACATTTAAAAATTTTAAGTGCATGAGCACTTGCCTTGGCCAAAGTTTTATAAATTTGTTTTTCAATAATCATAATCAGTCATTTTCTCTATCATTTCTCTTTTTGTATCACTCATTTTCCCTAAAGTTTCAAGTAATATTTAGTTTTCTTACATCTGTAAAGAAGAACTAAAAAGGAAAAAAAATGCTGATTTGTTGGAAATGAAGTACTTCCAAGATATCAGTTATATGCTGCTATCTTATAAGAAAAGATATGTTTTATTTAACAAAGGTGCAATAGAAAATATTCATTCCCAGGTACTTCTGGCCAGCCATGCACATGGACAAAATGGGTTTTACTAGCAAGAGGCAGCCATCTGTCAAAATGTAGGTGTTTGATGTTGGAAGTCAGGCTAGGGAAACAGAACACTGATAGTTTCTGCTACAATAGACTTTTGAAATTGGAATAACTGCTAAAGTGTCCGTAGATCCACCAAGTGGGAGTTATCAGGAATGTAGCCTGAAATAGTTTCCCCATTGGTAAGAAAGGAGAGGGAAACTACTTTTCAGGGTTGTTGTGAGGATTTAATGAAATGGCATGCCAGAAGTTCCTGGAACAAGGCAGTCAATAAAATTTAGATTTCCAACCCTTTTAAGTTCTAACATTAAACATTCTTCTTTTCACTTATCAAGTAGATACTAATATTTTATTTTTGCAACTCAGTTAATGAATGCTAGTGGTACGGTTACGGTAAAGATATAATTCAAGAAATTTGCTGAATAATCGCAACATTTTGTAGCTAAATAAAACAGATGTGGAGAATTATTTTTCCAATGTTGACTAAATAATATAAAGAAAAATAAGTGAATTAATATATAAAAATTAAATCTAAATTAAAATTAGTGTTTTATTTTATGCTAAAACATGAATTTTACAGAATATAATAATGCATCTCAGGTCTCCTGGAACTGTACACTATTTAAGAGCAATGAAGATATTTTGGAAGAGCCTAGGAAATTAATGTCAGTTCTCTCAGGGTACGGCATCCTATTCTGTTGTTTAGAAGAATACTAGAATTAAATAGAAGCATCATTATGTCACATCAAATACAATGTCAACGTAAGTGAAATCCCCCTTTTCATCCATACTTCTAATGGTGTAAGAGGATTCTGATGAAGATAGAAACTAATGCAATACAACTGGTGGTACATATAAACATAATTTGTTAGGTGTGCTAGGCATGGTAAACCTAACAAATTTAAGCTACAATGTCTGAAGAAACAGTTTCCAAAGATTAAAAAAAAATAAATGTAACATTATTAGAAATTACTAACTAGAAAGAGATATCTTTCAAGCTTTCAATCTGTATATTTTTAGGGCCGCTTAACCTTCTCTTACATGTCCCACATGCATTTTAAATTCAAGATGTTAAAACTAAATTTTTTTATACCCCAACACTCCATCTCAGTGAAAGACACCAGTCTACATCTATGTGCTAAAACCAGAAACCTGGAAGTCATTCTTAAATTCTCCTTCCCCATCATCATCTCTCTCAACCAATCAATTACCAATTTATTTTAAACAAACCTCCTGAATACCCTGAAGAACCTTTAACTTTTCTACATTTTCAGAAACATCATCCTATCAGCCACTAACAATCCTCAACTGGGCTATTGTAATGACCTCGCAACTAGTCTTTTTGTTTGTGTCGCTCCCTATAATTCATCCTCTAAAGCTTAGTTTGACACTGTATTCTGAGCACCTAGTGTCTGGCATATAGTAGTTTATCAATTGATATTTACTGATATTTGTTCAAATAATAAAAGAAGAAAACAAGAAAAAAATGAAATTTTGACAAATTAAAAGGCAAATATGATTATTACTACATCTACTAAAAACTCCTCCATGACTTTTGATTACTCTCATGATTAAATCTAAATTCTATAACAAGTTCTATAGGCTTCTTAATAATCTTTGCATCATTTATCTGTTCAGTCTCTTCACTTGTCACTGTCCCCACCAATGACCCTCTGTATTCTGTATTCTTCACATTTAACATCTTTCAGTTCTCTAACCGTGGCATTTTCTCTATTGTCTCTAAAACTCCACAGGCTGATTCTTCTCTCTGGAATACCATCCCCTCTCTGGTTCATGTAGACAACTCCTGCTTACTCTTAAAACCACTCCTCTGCTCATTTATTTTAGTATAACTCACCTGCATGCCCCCAAGTCTTAGTTGAGAACCCCATTTCTATGGTCTCAAACACCTGCTATTCCCTGCATCTTAGCAGTTAGCATATAATATCCACCTGGATGTTTACATTTCTTCCTTATTTGCTAAATTTCCAAGAGCAGAGACCATGTCTATTTTGTTTTTGGCTACATTCCCAAACCAAGGCACAGTGACTTACACCTAGCAGGTGCTCAGTAAGTATTTGTTCAATACGTGGATGAATGAGTGAATGAAATTATATCATGTCTAGAGATCTTTCTAGTCCATTTTAAAGCTGACATTTCCAAGATAGTTGGTGTGGTAGATGTCATAACACATGACCTCACCTCCTCTCATAAATAAAGGACTTATTCTGCAGCTGCTGGGACTGCTGCCAGTAGAAAATCCTCAGTAGTCATCCCCTTTGAGGATGCCTCGGCTAAAGAAGAGTGCCGGGAACAAGGTTATGCCCACTTCCCAAGATGATATGCAGCCAAATACTGATCCTTATAGGAGCATAAAGGCCTGCTTCTTGCCCTAATTCAGGGCAGCTCTGAAGGGTCACCCCATTTGCAGAACTCCATAGAGACTAAATTCAGTCATTCCAATCAGAATGCATTGCAGCTTTACCACTCCCTATTCTTTATTTAACTCTCTTCACTTTCCTACCACAGGAATTGAATTGAATCTAAGAGCATTCTATAACAGAGTACTTCTAACCTCTGTCTCAGAGTCCATGTTCTAAGGAACCCAACCTGTGAAAGTTAGAGAATGGAGAAATTTAGTGTTTGTTAAAATTTCAATAAATTATTCTGATTATTTTTGTATTGATTATCTGCATTTGTCCCTGCCCCCAACCCCATTCCTATATCCATTATTTACCCCTCTCTGTTCTGGTCTTGACCCAGGAGACTGACCTTGGTGGAATTCAGGGTATGATACCTCAAAATATGGCACCTTGGCATTTGAGTCCTAAGACCCTCATTTAAGAGATTCTCTCTATCTGTCTGAAGGAAAGAAACATTCTTATCTCAGAAAACACAGGAACATAAAGAAAAATGTGAACAAACAATCCTTGATAACTTCCCCCAAGCTAATTATCATTAGATTATAGCATTTAGTCTTCTAATTATATTTCTCCATGACGATGCACTCTTCATCACTCTTCAAAAGGTTTACCTGTTTCTTTGGGTTTTTATGTCTAAGGATTCCTGTGTCACGTAAAACTTATATCAAATATATTTATAGGTTTTTCTCATGTTAGTTTGCCCTTTGGTAAAGAAGCCTCAGACACAACCTAACATGAGAAGAAATGACATATTTCTTTCCTACAACATCCATGTCAGAATATGCTTCCTGCGCTACCTTGCTGGTCTTGTTCCCAGCTGTGTTAAGCCAGGGGAAGGCAGAAGCAAGAGATAGGATAATGAGAAAAAAGAGGCCGTGAGGGTCTTTTTTTATGTTTTCTGACATCAATTCTGACACAAAATATATGATTTTATTCTGACAACAAATAAATGTATTTTTCCACACCATTTCTGCAATTCTCCAATACCAACAAAGTGTTTGAAAATTCAATTCAATTCTCTCACTAACTTCTGTTAGTGGCAGTACCCTATGGGGCAGTAACCCCATAGGTTAAGCACAGAGCTCTGTAGGAGCACAGAGCTCCTAAAACCAGAAACAAAGACCAAATACATTTTTTATTACACCACAGTATTTTTTTTAACCTGCTCCATTCTTGCCTCCATATTACATTTTTTAACAGGAGATGCTATTCTTTGAATTGCTCATTGCTTTACAGTTGTTCACTACAATCTGACTCCTGTTGGGCTTTGATACTACTATACTATTCTCTCCTTTTTCCCCTTCTGGTTTAAGGAAAATAGTGTCTTCCTGCTGTTGCTTATCTTAGTAACTCAGCATTCCTAGTTGGTTCTATCTTGCCAACAGTTGATAGGGGTGTGGGAGGAGATAGTATTTCCACTCCCTTCCCTCTTCTTTACCAGTTGTCAAGTGAAACGTAAGGTGAATTCCATAGTTGTTCAGAATGCTGTGAGGGAGTCCCATCCTACATTTGGTTAGATTTAAGAAAATCTCTTTCCACTATACCATTTTACAAGAGGAATAACCTGTTTTGAGTTCACTTGTATTTTCCTGACTGCCTTGCAATTTGTTTCTCATTAAACTCAGATGTGCCTTTCTTTGCCCTCACGCATTGAGATTTGGCCTTTTCCACTTTTGAACTGAGCCCAGAGACCAGAACATTTTTAATTATCAATTAAAAAGTGATGAGGAATCACTAACCAACTCGTTTGTAATGACTGCTTGTCAGGTTACTGTTACTGTCCTCTTGACTATGAAAACTGTAGCATACAATAGCAGTACATTTGTTCAACTGTCCGAGTAATCTGCAAAAAGATTATGGCTCTCTAGATTACTTTTTTAAAGAAAGAGATTAAAAGCTTTACCTCATCATTTAATTTAAAATTAGGTTAAAGTTCTTTTTAATTTATGGGAAGGGGTCATTGACAAAGAGTTCAAATAACAATTTTTATAAACATGTTTGATGAGGGCTACATATTGAAGAGTAGTTGCAAATAAATTATTACACAAGAGTAATTGAGCTCACCGTGTCCCTGAAATTGACAGACCACATGCATAGTAATTTTCTCTGTTTAGAGAAACTATATAATTAGCCTTAACAAGTAAAGGGAAGAAAGGGATTAACTTTTTGCAAGATGATTCTATTAAAGCAGTGCTGTGGGATTTGAAATTTGAACATAGAGCTATTCATTGAAATTCTAAAATAGTTGACATGAGGGAAAATATATTGAAAGATATTTGGAATTTCTAATTGTACCTGCCCCGATCTCTGGCCAAAGGGCAGCCTTATGGGTCAAAATGGTCTAGAGTTTGTCCCTTGTTATTTGTTACCAGTAAAAGAATGGTTTAGAATAGGCTTAATGGAGGAATCAGTTAAAGAGTTTTTCTTCTACTAACTCTTGACACAATGAACCCACCATATCAGTCATCACGTAAATGTCCATAAACCTTGAAAAAGGATCTGATAGTTTGACTCTGTTGACATCTTAGACTCTTTTTGCTGCATTCTTTTCTTCCACATTTCTTTTCTTTTTCCCTTCCTCCTTTCTTCCTTCCTTTCTTCTGTTCATCATTTCTTCTTAGCTTATTTATACTAGTAATATGAAAATACTTTTTTTATGTAATCGGTATTACATAACAATATATAACTATATCTAATGTATATATATTATATATAGAGAGACAGCACAAAACTTTATTTGCAATTCTCTTTTAGTTGTTTTCCTATTGTGATGATAGGTAACATTATAATTTCCACAACACTGCTGCTGCTGCATGTGATTATTTCTGCTTTCTCAAAATGATGGAAACAAAATTTAAGTGAAATTACAAGCTTCTGAAAGTTGCACAGACATTGACCAGCCATAACTGCTTCAGAAGGAATATAACAGGGAAAATTGTCAATTACCAGACATTTTTTGAAAAGGCTTTTTTTTTTTCCCAAAGCCATCACAAGAGCTCCTATGTTGTCAGAGCAATATCACTTTTTTTATCTCATGGCATCACTTAGGGCTGGTTTGTTTGTTTCAACAGCTTTATTAAGTTATAATTGATTTCCAAAAACCTCATATATTTAATTTATATAATTTGATGAGTTTGAACATGGACATACACTCCTTAAACCATCACAACAATGAAGGTAATAAAAGTCTTCATCACCTCCCCAAGTTTTCTCATATTTCTTGTTTGTGTGTACATATGTGTGCACGTGCACACATGTGTGGGAAGAACACAACATGAGAACTACCCTCTTAAGAACTGCTTTAAGTGTAAAATATAGTATCGTTTACTGTATGCACTATGTTTTGGAGCAGATCTATAGAAGTTATTTAACTTGCATAACAAACATTATTGCCATTAAATAACAACTCCCTATCTTTCTTCTCCCCAGCCTCTGGCAACCACCATTCTACTCTCTGCTTCTATGAGTTTATTTTCGATTTCAAATATAAGTGAAAAAAGAACCATGCAGTGTTTATCCTTCTGTGTGGATGACTTGTTTTACTTAGCATTATGCCCTCCAGGGTCACCCATGTTGTCATATATGGCAGAATTTCTTTTTTAATGCTGAATAATATTCCAATGTACATATATATTATGTTTTATTTTTCCATTCATCTGATGATAGACATTTAGGTTGTTTCTATATCTCAGCTATTGTAAATAATGCTGCAATTAACCTGGAAGTGAAGATATAACTTTAAGATACTGATTTCAGTAATTTTGGATAAGTATCCAGAACTGGGATTGCTGTATCATATGGTTGTTTCATTATATTTGCTTTTTATGAAATTTCATATGATTTTTCATATCAAAAACACCATTTTATATTCCCACCAACAATGTGCAAGTGTTCCCACTTCTCTACAACTTCAACAACACTTGATATATTTTGGTATTTTTTTGAAAATACCATTGTAAGAGATGTGAGATGGTATTTGATTGTGATTTTGATTTGCATTTCTCTGATAATTAGTGACGTCGTTACAGATAGTTAGGCATGAGTGGGGCAGGAGAGGGCTCTCCCCCAACCCACTAGAATGTCAGGTGATGGTCTGGCAATTACTGCATTGCCTCTTTAATTTGGTAATGCCAGAGGAAGGTCATTTCCTGATGGTCCAAACCTGTTAATATCAAAATATTAATTGAATGCATGCCCAAGGGAGAAGCAACTTCCTGCACATGAGCATTAAGAAACAAAAATGGTGAAGTATGATCTTCCGCGGGCACATTCCACCAGAAAAGGGAAGAAAACCTCAGATGGACAGGCTCATAATTCCCTTAACACACTGCGCATGCTCAACTCCAAAGAGTAAGGAAAGTACTGAGCATGTGGGAAGCCCACTCTAAGGGAAGAATCATGTGGAAGAGGCGAGCTTATAGAAGTCCTAGGATCAAGGTTAAACAGGGCACTTGACTTTCTCTTTCACCTTCACATGCCCGCTTGGGTTTCTTCCAAGTGCATCGTCCTTTCTTTCCTGTTCTAAGGCCTTTTGAAATAAACTTCCACTTCTGCTCTGGAACTTGTCTCAGTCTCTTTTTCTGCTTTATGCTCCTCAGTTGAATTCTTTCTTCTGAGGAGGCAAGAACTGAAGATGCTCCGAATCTGTAAGAATAGACCACCAGTAACTTGGGGTAACTCGGTTCTTTTCCAATAACAACAATATTGAGCACTTTTTTATATATCTGTTGGTCAACTGTATGTCTTCTTTGGAAAAATGTCTAACTATTAAGGTATCTATTAGATGTCTATCTAGTAAATTGTTTTATTTGGTTTTGTTCCTTTTTTTTTTTTTTTGCTGTTGAGTTAAAGGAGTTACTTATGCATTTTAAGTATTGTCCTGTTATGATACATCATTTGCAAATATTTTCTCCCATTCCTTAGGTTATCTTTTCATTCTGTTAACCGTTTTCTTTACTATTCGGAAGCTTTCTTATTCTTATGTAGTCCCATGTGTTTATCTTTGCTTTCATTGTCTGAGCTTTTGGTGTAATATCCAAAAAAATTATTACCAAGGCCAGTGTCACGAACTGTTTTTCTTCCCAATATTTTCTGTAAAACTGTAGCCTTAAAATTTCCGGTTTTTTGTTTAGATTTTTAATTCATTTTGAGTGAATTTTTGTGTATGGTATAATAAAAAGTATTCAATTGCATTCTTCTGCATGTAAATATTATTTTCTCAACAGAATTTGTTGAATAGAGTGATATTTTCCTGATTAGGTAACCTTGGCACCCTTGTGAAATGTCAGGCAACTGCATCTACATGAGTTTATTTCTTGGCTGTCTATTCTCTTCCATTGGACTATATGTCTATTTTTATGCCAGTACCATACAGTGGTAACTATAGTAACTTTGTTCTATATTTTGAAATGAGAAAGTGTGATACCTCCAGATTTCTTTCCTTCCCAAAATTGTTTTGACTGACTACAGATTTTATGGTTGCATTTGAATTTTAGGATTCTTCTCTATGGAAAAAATGTCATTGGGATATTTATGGGGATTGCATTGAATCCATAGATTACTTTTGGTAGTATGCATATTTTAACAATATTAATTCTGCCAATCTATGGAAATGGAATATCTTTCTATTGGTGTCTACCTTAGTTTCTTTAATCAATGTTTTATAGATTTTGGCATACAAATTGTTGCAGAACTTTTCCTTAGTTCAGCTAAAGATGAGGTCCTTGTCTGTCCCATGGTCATGAAGATTTAGGCTCATAGACAATTTGAAGGGTGAGTAAAGCAGGGTTTTATTCAGTGAAAAGGAAGAAAAGGGGGAAAAAGAGACTCTCACAAGGCCAGAGTCTCTACTAGAGTGCTTCCCACCTGGCCATTTGAATCTCAGTTTCCACACAGGAAGAGAAGGGGCCAAGTTCCTCCCTGCTGCAAATGTTGTGAAATTCCTAAGTTTCCACCTCAGTGGGCAGGCTGGTTGGAGTTTCTCCAGGGACTCCTTTCCAACTGGCTGTCTCATTTCCCCCTCTAAAGACATGCATCTAACTGCCCTTAGATTAAGGATAAAGACAAAGATGAACTTAACTGCTTCCTGCTGACAGGGGTTGCTGTTTGGGGGAAACGGTAGTCAGAGCTCCCTCAAAGTCCTATCTAAGGGATCCCAGCAGAAGGGGCCATCATCAGAGGCTCAGGTTGCATGACTGTTTTGAGTGTGATGTCCTGAAGGCAAGAACAGATGAACCAGGTTATTAGAAAACATGAATCAAAACAAAACAAGAGAAGGGAGAAGGACAGCTGAAAGATCCCAAGGCCTTTTACCAGTTTGTACAGGGAGAGGGAGGTCAAAAGCCCAACCGGTTTTAAAAAAAAAAAAAAAAAAAAAAAAAAAACTTTACCCTTTTGCCAGCAAGTTGGGCTTCTGGGTTCCCTTCCCCTGGGCCCAACCTTAAGTCAACCAGTTTAAGGTTTAGGAAATTACTCTTTATAGTTTGGAAGATGCATCTGAAGGGAGTGTCCCATAGTATGGAGAAACAATTACCTATCAATGAAGAGACTCCTGAGGAGGAGAAAGGAATAAAAAGATGGCATTTTTTCAAAGGAGCCACAGGGGCTCAGGATGCATTTGAAAGGGGTACAGACTAAAGATGAATGGCTACCTATCTAGAAAGACAGGAGCAGGCATGCCTGGTTCCCTTCTCTTCCTAGCAGATACCCGGAGGTAAATGAGGTAGGAAGAGGAGAGGGTCCTATTTCCCTCTTCTGTCCTTGCATCCCCGAGTTCCAGTGACCTTGGCAGGTGCTGTCATAGATGTCAAAGAGACTTGCACCCATGAAGCAGGGAGACCTAGAGAATAAGAATTATCCACTCTCACCTATGTCCCTTTCCAATCTACTGTCAGTAGCCTTAGAGTTCCCTAGACCTCATTTATGCCATGGGTATTAACACAGTTTTTATTCATGAAACAGGAAGTTTGGGGTTGGCTTAATTGGCAGGAAACAGCCACACTCACCTGCACTGTGCCTTTTAACCTCTGTTGTCATTTGCCTCTGGATCCCTCAGATCCAGTTTTCTTTCCTAGGGCTTTGACCCGAAGCTTGGAATTGAGTTTGGGACAAAAATGTTTCTCAGGGCGGTGGGGGTGGGGGTTGCATGGACTCCTTATGATAAGCTAAAGGCTAAGATGAAACTGTGGAACTGAGTTCTCCTCCAGCAAGGGAGAGGAAAGAATGTCTTGTGACACACTCAGATAACTGATAGCTATAGTTATGCTTGCTAGGATTTGGGTGCACGGTGCTTGGCTTTTGTTACCTTCCTTGGTCTTACTTTCCCAGAAGGAAACTTCTGGGTGATGGGCACCCTATTTATTCCTTATTTATTCTAACACCTGGCAAGATTTGCAGGATAATTGCTCGGAACTAGAATATTGACACCGATTTGTACATTACCCATCCCTTTTGTTCTTTCTGAGCTGCAGCTGGAGATTGCTGGTAGGTTCACAGGAACAAGCAGAGTTAATCTAAAATGTAGGCAAAAACTTAAAAAGAACTAATGAGTTTAGAATTTAGTGACAAACGTATGGTAAGTTTTGGAACATAATGTCTCCCTCTCCAGTCCTCATTTTTGTTAAGAAACAAATGATCATAGGACTGAGTTATTCAAATAGATTTTAGTCTTATACTTGGCCTGATTATTTGCATAAAATGGAGCAAGAATAATTATTTCTACATAGGCCTTTTGGATTACCTTTGATGGAATTCTCTCTTTTCCACAAGGAATCTCAAATAAGACCTTTTAAAGCCAAGCCAAACCATGGGTTTGTATCTTCAAATACCTGTGAGTAGGGTGATCCTCACCTCTTAAGGTTCCAAGATAAACTTGGAGCTCCTACACCTGTTTGAAACTGACATTCTTTACTGACAACAAGTCAGGAACCCTGTACAAGGGCTGCACAGACAAGGATATGAGGCCAGTTTCCCCACTGGGCTTCTACTGGCTCTGTAAGTTGAGCTTGACTCTTCGAAGGGAAACATACCCTTCCAATCTAAGACTTGATAAAATGACCACTTTCTCAAGTTGTGTTCTGTTACAAAAGAAAAATGAATTCTTCTTGCACTGATGCAATTATATTGCCATAAGTTAGGAATACTCACAGAGAGTTTCTAAATTTTAGAGTAACCAGGAAGAGAGTAACAAACATGCTCCAAATTTTGTTCATAGGAGTTTATCTTACTCAATTATTGAAGACTGTAAATAGTTCAAAATAAGTTTCCTTCACTATGAAAAACAAAACAAGGATCAGCAATATTCCAACCAAAAATCGAAAAGGTTTCTTCAGCTTTCTGAGTTCAGTTCATTTAGTTAACTCTTGTTTTGCTTGATATTCATGAACATTTCAGTTCTTCCTTAGTCCTTACATTTTCCTTTATTCCATTGTTACAATTTACAAAGTTACCAGCAGCCTGTACTTGGGAGCACCTTTTATAGTTCTGTAGCTCATTAGAAACCATCTTTAAAAAAAATTAAAACAAGACAACAATTGTCTGTGAATAGCAAAATGTCCAGGGTAGTTACAATTAGATACGCAATTGAAAAAAAATTTGGTTATCTCCGTGGTTTACAATAACGTAACACAAAAACCTTAATTATGATTGATAGTGTGTCCAGAATTGGTTCTTTCTGATGGGTTCTTGGTCTCACTGACTTCAAGAATGAAGCCGCAGACCCTCACTGTGAGTGTTACAGTTCTTAAAGATGGTGTGTGTGCAGTTTGTTCCTTCAGATGTTCAGATGTGTCCGGAGTTTGTTCCTTCAGATGTTCAGATATGTCCAGAGTTTCTTCCTTCCAGTGGGTTCATGGTCTTGCTGACTTCAGAAGTGCAGCCACAGACCTTTGTAGTGAGTGTTACCGCTCTTAAAAGTGGCTGGTCCGGAGTTGTTTGTTCCTCCTTGTGGGTTCGTGATCTTGCTGACTTTAGGAGTGAAGCCACAAGCCTTCATGGTGTTACAGCTCATAAAGGTAGTGCAGACCCAAAGGGTGAGCAGCAGCAAGATTTGTTATGAAGAGCAAAAGAACAAAGTTTCCACAGCATGGAAGGGGGCTGGAACGGGTTGCTGCCGCTGGCTCCGGTGGCCAGCTTTTATTCCCTTATTTGGCCCCACCCACATCCTGCTGATTGGTCCATTTTACAGAGTGCTGATTGTTCCATTTTACAGAGTGCTGATTGGTCCATTTTACAGAGTTCTGATTGGTGCGTTTTTACAGAGTGCTCATTGGTGTGTTTACAATCCTTTAGCTAGACACAGAGCACTGATTGGTGCATTTATAATCCTTTAGCTAGACACAAAAGTTCTCCAAGTCCCCACCCCACCCAGAAGGCCAGCTGGCTTCACCTTTCAAAAGCATATACTCAGACATTAGAATTTTAGAAATCCCATACAATTTTGAAACATATATTAGCATTATTCACCAAGATATAACCTAAAGAAGACTGAGCATCATTTTGGCCATCTCGGGTACCTAAACATGTGAAATAATCCTGTTTACCTCTCTTTTCTGGACACTTTGGGGGCCCTTTGAAGTAGCCACAGTAGCCCTCTGAAAAGCCAGGTGCCACAGAAGACAATTGTGCAACACAAGTTTGATTTGGGGAAGGCTGTTAAATGTTCGAGGTTTAAAACACTTGATATTAAGAAATAGAATTCCAGATTACCATAAGTTATTTATTTTGATAAAGTGATGACTCAAGTTTTAAAGAAGGAGAAACCTTTCATAACCTTTTATAAATTTTGCCAAAAAGCAGATTAGTACCTTAGGAAAACCTTGTTATGCTTTTATTTCAATGCTCAATTTACAGACAAACCATATAATACCCTTTTTTTGAATTTAGTCAATATGTTCACACAGAGAACCTCTTCTGCAAGATTAATTCCCACAATTCTTCCACCACTTCTTTGAACCTTCAGCTTTTTCCTAATTTAACTCAAAACAGTCCTTTAACTCTAGGCAAAAGTTTACATTTCCATGCCTTCTTATAACCTTTTACTAAAAAACACATTTTACTGTTCTTATACACCTTGCATGTAAATCTATTTCTAGTAGTTTCAATTAACTCCTGGAAATTTTTAACTTTAAGGTAAAACTTGGTAAGTTGCTTTTATTGTGTGCTAACTGCAGTCAAGGTTTGCCTTCTTAGTTAAGGGCGTTGTTAGTTCCATATGTCCCCAGGCCTTACCAATTGTGAAGCCAGCAAGTCAAATAGTTCCCAAAAGCCAAAAAGCAGTTTTTAACCTCAAAACACTTAGCAAATCTTGCATCTGACGTGCATTTTGCCAATGGTCTTAAGGGCTGTTTTTGTTTCTCAAAGATTAAAATCACATGAACTGAAAGGTTCCACAGCTTTTAACTTCCCTGTAAAAAATATTAGATCCAAGCGCTTGTCTTTCTTTAGGCCAAATTAATTAGATATCTCTTTTTACAGATATCAAGCACAGTACACACACAGGCAGAAGAAAACCTAGTTGCTGGGTGGGGCCCTCTAAGAGACAGGGCTAGGAAAACATGCGGATATCAAACCAGAAAGAAACTTACTTCCTAAGGCAGGATTGCTAAACAAAGCCTTGACACTGGAGTTACAAGCCACGCCCTCAGGATGTAAAACAAGATGAAAGATTGATTTCACAATGAAAACTTTGCAGAGAATACACACAGTGATAGTTGGTGGGGGGTGGGGGGGAGTGGGGTATGGCCTGGTAAAATGTGTCCTAAAAGAAAAAAAAAAAAATTAACTGCGGACAGGATGGAGAAGAGGAAAAAAGAAAGAGTTTTAGACTGCCTGGGGAAGAATCTCTTACTCTTATGCAACTGGTTCCTCCACCAGGGAGAAAAGTTTAATTACTGTCTGATGGAGAAGGAAAACCCCTTGGCTGGGGAAGGAGAAGGCTGAGAACCAGCACAGCCAGCTGTGTGAGACCCTTGGGCCATGCGACCCAGCCCCAGCCTGGAGAGGGAAGCGGCTGGCCGACCCCCGGTTGTAACAGGGTGTAGGGGTGCAGTTCCCCGTAAGCTCAGAAGTCCAAGGATGAAAAGGCTGAGAAACCAGTGAGAGATTTTGAGTCCCCATTTTACGCACCGCTTCTCGAGCCTCCATATTGTGCGCCAAAAATATTGCAAGACTTTTCCTTAGTTCAGGTAAAGATGGGGTCCTTGTCTGTCCCATGTTTGAAGGATGAGTGAAGCAGGGTTTTGTTGGGTGAAAAGGAAGAAAAGGGGGAAATCGGGACTGTCACAAGGCCAGAGGGCCTGCTACAGTGCTTCTAGCCAGGCCATTTGAATCTGTTTCCACACTGGAAGAGGAGGGGCCAGGCTCCTCCCTGCTGCAAATGTGGTGAAATTTGGAGACTCCACCTCAGTGGGCAGGCTGGTTGGAGTTTCTCCAGCGACCTCTTCCCACCTGTCTCAAAATCTTTCACCTCCTTGTTTGAGTTCATACACAAATATTTTGACACTATTAGAAATGGGATTATTTTAATAATTCATTTTACAAATAACTTTTTGTTAGTGTATAAAATGCAAGTAACTCTTGTATGTAGATGTTAGGTCCTGCAACCTTATTGAATTTTTTTTGTAACGTAACAGGTTTTTAGTGGAATCTTCAGGTTTCCTACATACATATAAGATCACATCATCTGCAAATGGGAGTATTTTACTTCTTTCCTCTCAAATTGGATGGCTTTTTATTCTATTTATTGCCTAATTGCTCTGGTTAAAACTTACAGTGCTTTGCTAAATGGAAGTGGCAAGAGTACGGATCCTTGTCATGTGTCTGATCTTAGAGGAAAAGCATTCAGTTTTTTAACATTAACTATGATGTTAGCTGAGAACCTGTCATATACGGCTTTTGCTATGTTGATATAAATTTCTTTTATATGTAGTTTGTTGAGTTTTATGACTCAAGTGTGTTGAATTTTCTCAAACACTTTTTTGCATTTATCAAGATGTACATGTGGTTTTTATCCTTCATTCTGTTAATGTGATATATCACATTAATGTCTTTCTGTATGTTTAACCATTCTTGCAACCCAGGGATAAATTCCACTTGGTCACAGTGTACATTTTTAAATATGTTATTAAATTTGATTTGCTTGTATTTTCTTCAGGGTTTTTGCAAATATGTTCATCAGAAATATTGGTCTGAAGTTTACTTTTCTTGTAGTGTCTTTGTCTGACTTTGATATTAGAATAATGCTGGACTCATAAAATGAGTTTGAAAGTGTTCCCTCCTTTTAAATTTTTTGGAAGAATTTGAGTGTGATTGGTTTTATGTATTCTTTAAATGTTTGATAAAATTCATCCATGAAGACATCTGGTCTTGAGGTTGTTTTGTCGTTGTTGGGAGGTGTTTGATTACTAATTAAATTTCCTTACTTGTCGTTGGTCATTTTAGGTTTTTGATTTCTTAAAAATTCAGTCTTAGTAGGTTGTATGTCTTAGTAGTCTTAGTAGGTTGTAGTCTTAGTAGGAGTAGGAATTTCTCCATTTCTTCCAAGTTATCTAATTTCTTATTGTATAATTGCTCATACCAATGTTTGTGATTCTTTTTTATTTCTGTGGAAAGAATTGTAATGTCTTCTTTTAATTTCTAATTTTATTAATTTTAGTCTTCTCTCTTTTCTTCTTAGTCTAGTTAAATGTTTGTTAATTTTGTTGATTAAAAAACTCAGTTTCATTGATTTGTTCTAATTTTTATTTTATTATTATTATTTTTTGTTTCAGATAGTACCATTTTCTTTCTTCTGCTAACTTCTGACTTAGTTTGTTATTGTTGTTTTTGAGGTATCAAGTTAGATTGTTAATTTGTGATCTTCCTTTCTTCATTTTTTACAAGACTCCTGGATCAGAGACAATCTTCTTTATTAATGTAGGCATTTACCATAACAAACTTCCCATTTAGTACTGCTTTTGCTGTATTCCATGAGTTTTGGTATTATGTCTCTTCATTTTAATTTATCTTAAGATATTTTCTGATTTCTCTTTTTATTTCTTCTTTGACCCATTGATTGTTCAGAATTGTGTTTTTAATTTCCTCATATTTTTGAGTATTCTAATTTTCCTTCTCTTATGGGTTTCTGGTTTCATTCCATTGTGGAGAAAAAGATACTTAGTATGATTTCATTCTTTTAAAATTTGTTAAGACATTTTGAGAATGTGTATTTTTCTGCTGTTGGATGGAATGTTTTGTATATGACTGGTAGGTCCATTTGGTCTTTAATGATTTGAAGTCTGTTATTTCTTTATTTTCTATTTGGATCATGTATTTGGTATTAAGAGTGGGGTATTGAAGTCTTCAGTTATTATTGTATTGCAGTTTATCTCTTTATTCTGTCTTTTTTATATTTTTAGTTCCTCTGAATAGATGTACATACATGTTTATAATTGTTGGGCCTTCCTGAGGAATTCATCATTATATGTCCTTTTGTGTCTCTTGTTACAGTGTTTGAATTATAGTCTATTTTGTCTAATATAAGTATTGCCACCCTCATTTCTTTTATTTACATTTGCATAGAATATCTTTTTCTATTCCTCGCCTTTCAGCCTAAGTCCCTAAATCTCAAGTATGGATTTTTTAGACAGCACATAGGTTTGTTTATTTGTTTTTTTTTAAATATCCATTCAACTACTTTAAGTCTTTTGATTTTGGATTTTACTTATTTTTATTTTAAATAATTTTACCTTTTTGTTGCTAAAAGAATACATTTTATAATTTTAATATTTTTGCAACTTTTGTTTTAGAATTAGGGGTATATGTGAAGTGTTGTTACAATGGCATATTGTGTGATGCTGTGGTTTGGAGTACAAATTAATCCATCACTGAGGTAGTGAGCATGGTACCCAATAGGTAGTTTTTCTCAACATTTACCCCACTTCCTCCCTCTAACTTTTTGAAATCTCCAGCATCTACTGTTCCCATTTTTATGATTGTGTGTGTCCAATGTTTAGCTTCTACTTATAAGTGAGAACTTGTGGCATTTGGTTTTCTGTTTCTACATTAGTTCACTTAAGATCGTGGTTTCCAGCTGTATCTATGTTTCTGCAAAGGACATAACTTATTTCTTCTTTATGGCTGCATAGTATTGCATGGTGCATATATACCATATTTTCCTTTTCTAATTCACCATTTATGGACACCTAGGATGATTCCATTACTTTGTTATTGTGAATACCACAGTGATGAAAGTATGGATACATGTGTCTTTTTGGTAGGATGGTGGATTTTATTTTGGGTATACACTCAGGAGTGGGATTGCTGGGTTGAATGGTAGTTCAACTCTCAGTTTATTGAGAAATCTCCAAACTGCTTTCCAGAGTGACTGAACTAATTTAAATTCTCACCAACAGTGTATAAGTGTTCTCTTTTCTCTGCAGCCAAGCCAACATTTTTATTTATTTACTTTTATTTTTCAGCAAAAGCTATTCTGACTGTTGTGAAATGGTATCTCACTGTGGTTTCAGCTTGCATTTTTCTGATGATTAGCAATGATGAGCATAGTTTTCTATGTTTATTGGCCACTTGTATGTGCTCTTTTGAGAATCATTTATTGATGTGCTCTGCCCATTTTTTAATGGGCTTATTTGGTTTCTGCTTGTTGGGTTGTTTAAGTTACTAATAGATTCTGGATGTAATATAGAACAAAATTATTTTTTGTAAGTGATTGTTTTATTTTATTCATTACAGTTTCTGAAAAATACAGCTATTCATTTATACCAGTTCTCAAACTATGTATTTGAACTCCCTGCCAATCATTTATTGCAAAATTTAATGTTGACACTCATTAATCTGATGCCGAGGAGATAGTTTCTTTCTGTCTGACATAAAACAATGATAAAAGAGACAATAGTTACTTTGATTGCACAATAGTAGAGGAAACATATTTTTTCATGAACAATAAGGATGATTATTTCATTCTTAGCAATATACATGGCTATCATTTCTTTTTATGAAGTAAGTAGCCTGTTTATTAATTGAATTATTCCAACATTTTTATGTTGGAGTCCCAGCTCCCAGTACCTCCAAATGTGGCCTTATTTGTAAAAACAATGATTAACCATGTAATTAGTTATGATGATGTTATAATGGAGTAGGGTGATAGTCTAATCCAACATGATTGGTGTCCTTTATAAAAATATTTGGGCCTAGATAACTCACAAGGAAAATTTCATGTGATGATAAAGGCAGAGATATGAGTGATGTTTCTGCAAGTGAAGAGCCACCAAAGATCAACAGTAAACCATCATAAGTTAGGCAAGAGTCATGAAACAAATTCTTTCTCACAGTAGTCAGCAGAAAGCAGTTCTGCCAATACTTTGATCTTGCACTTCTAACCTCTAGAACTGTGAAAGAATGCATTATAGTCTTTTAAGCTACCCAGTTTTTGGTGCTTTCTTATAGTGAAGTAAGGCAGATGAGCCAAAAAATTGGGGATTAGAATGGAAACTTTCTTGGCTTCACTTTAAAGAAGAATTCAAGTGTGAGCCAGTGGTAATTAAAAGAGCTTTATTGAGGTGGCAGTGTTACAGCTCCATGACTACTCCTGCAGAGCAAATCTACCCCACAGGCAGTGGAATGAGAGTAGCAGCTCAGGGGCAGCTCTGCAGTCATATTTATAACCAACTTTTAATTACATGCAAATGAAGGGGTGGGTTATTCCGAATTTTCTATAAAAAGGTTGGTAATTTCAAGGTCATTCCCATGGAATGGAGATGTAACTTCCGGGTGTTGCCATGGCAATGGCAAATTGACATGGCACTGGTGGGCAAGTCTTATGAAGACGTGCTTTGGGTGCCTCTTCCCTGTTTCAGCCAGTCTTCAGTCTGATCCAGAGTAAAATCCTGCCTCCTACCTCATTCCTCACTCAGAGATTAGATACTTATTTTTAAATTCAAGGGGTTCACAAAAGGATGGAGATCTGTCTTCTATAACTGCTTCCTGCTGAGTTCATGGGTGTAGGCTCTTTCCGGCACTGAAGGAGTAAAAATTTTTGAATAAAAAAAATCCAGATCCAGAGATAAGAACTACATCACATACAAGGGAGTCCTGACATACTATCAATGGATTTCTTAACAGAAACCCTGAAGGAAAGAATGGTATGAAATATTCAAAGTTTTGAAAGAAATAATATAAAAACCAGCAATAAAGAATACTTTAGTTACTTTAATTGGAAAAACTGTTCTAACATGCAGCAGGTTTGTTTTTGTTTGTTTGTTTGTTTGTTTGTTTTTAAGATGGCTGATTAGGGATGTCAGATTCCAGATCTCCTCAGAAAGATCAAAATTACAAATGAGTGGCCATGATTTGAATGGAAAGCTGAAGAAAGAAGGCCTGGATCTCTTTGAGAGCCCAGGGGAAACAGCTGGTGTGCCTAAAAGGCAAACAGCAAATATATTAAGTATATTGCAAAAACTAATCCCCCAAAGAACTCGGAGCTCCATGAAAAGGACAGGTTCGAGTGCTTCTGTACTTTCCTCATGCCTGCAACAATCTGCTGACCACTAAATTGTTGGGGAGGCCTTCTGTCTTAGTTACCCTGGGCAATGCTTTTGGTGGCTGTTTGGGAAATTGCCAGGGACAGAGCACTGTGCGGTCAGTTCACACAGATGCACCCACATTCTTCTCAGGGCTGAACCGAGATGGTCGGAGACATACTGTTTGTGTACCCAATGTGAGCCACTGCTTTGTCTAGGGAAACTCAGCTCTTATATCATTGCATCACCAGATATCCTGCAAACATACCCCAAAACTTGCTCTGACTTTGGCAATGAGAGGAGACTGCCGAGTTTCTGCGAAGCTGCATAATCCCTGAAGATCTAGCCTTCAGCAGGGGCCACCCCTATGGAACAGGGAGAACACAGACCATCAAAGCCACCTTGGGACAAAGGAAATGTAAACAAAGCACCAATCACTGAGGGTGGTAGCACCAGTGACTGGGAACAGACGTGGAGAAGGGGTAATCTTGTGCTGCCCCATCGACTGTCACAGACACAGTAGAGGCTCTCACACTGGGATTTGGTGTGAGTCTACTTGGAGACAACCTTCCCATTGCTTTATACAGTGGTTTCACTCCCATTGCAAGTAAGACCATACTGAATGGGCATGCACAAAATATGAGGCCCATCTTCCCCTTTTACACAGAGCAATAAAATCCTGGCAACAGCAGGCAGACAAGTCACAGAGCTTTCTGTGCTGGACTGAGGGATGTATCTCTGCCTCGAGCTTGTTTTGATGGTAGCTGCCAGAGGGGAAATAATACAGACTCACACTTCAGTTAGGAGCCAAAGAACAGTATCCATATGAATTGAAGGTCATGAGCCCTGTTATGGGGCATCATAAGGAAGAAGATTGTATTTCTGCCTGCCCAGGATGAGAAGCTGGTGCAGCCTTTACCCCCTTATTCCTATCCTGGATGCTTCAGTGCATTCCAACATGATCTCCCCCTCAGTGCTCCCCAAGAAAGTAGATGCCTATATTTATTATCAAGCTACCAGAGAGTGAGCTGGCTCTTACTCTAAAGCACCATTTACTCTACTGGAGAGTAAACTTCACTACCAAATACAAAACTTACTACTAAAAAGGCATAGTGCCAGTGTATGATATAAGCTTCCTGAGATTTCTGCATTCTCGGACCCACAGGAGATAGTCAGATCATATGTTCAGTACATTGGTACAACAAGATGCATTTGGGAAAATTATTGCAAAAGAGCTATCCACAACTAAGGAACCCATACAAAACCTGTGCACCTTGAAAACATCCAGAAATAAAACCAAATGATTTTACACAAGATACACCACAGTAACAACCTCAAGGGAAAAAAAGAATAAATAATAAAGAAGTCCCATCCAAATGATAGCAAACACAAAACTGAGAAGTGACACTGCTTCAGAGGAGGAAAAAAATCATTGCAAGAACTCTGGCAGTACAAAAAGACAGATTGTTTCAACATCTCCAGCAGAATGGACTCGCTATCTCAGTATAGATCCTAAACAAAATGAAAATTCTGAAATGAGAAATAAGGAATTCAAAATATGGATTATAATGAAGCTCAAAGAGATGAAATAGAACATTAAAAACAAACAAAAAAAACCAGAGAAATGATTCAGGATAGGGAAGATGAGATAGCTATGTTAAAAATATAGAATTTTTGGAATTAAAAAATAAAAGAAAATTCAAATAGAATTGAAACCTTCAAAAGTTGACTAGATCAAACAGAAGAATTCCAGAATTTGAAAACTGGTCTTTCAAATTAATCCAATCAGAAAATATTTTTTAAATAATTTTTAAAAATCAACAAAGCCTTTGAGAAATATGAGATGAGGAAATGTGACCAAACCTATGATTTATATGCATTCTTGAGAGAGAAGAACAAAAAGTAAGCAATTTGGAAAACATATTTGTGGCAATAATTCAGGAACATTACCCTAATATTGCTAGAGAGATAAACATCCAGATACAAAAAATTCAGAGAATGACTGCAAGATACTACACAAGATGAACATCACCAAGACATGTAGTCATCCAGACTATCCCAGGTCAAACGTACTGAAAAAAATCATAAAGCAGATAGAGAAAGGGGGACAAATCCCATGCAAAGATAATCCCATCAGACTGTCAACAGACTGCTCCACAGAAAACAGAAGAGAATGTTGCTCTATTTTGAGCCTTCTAAAAGAAACAGAAATGCCATCCAAAATTTTCATATCCTGCCAAACAAAGCTTCATAAATAAAGCAGAAAAATGTATTTCCTATACAAGGAAACACGAAGATAATTTGTCATCATGCCACCACTAGATTGTACATACAAAGAAATGCTCAAATGAGTTCTCAGCATGGAAATAAAAAAGATCATACTTCTATCAAAATGCACATGTAAATATAAACTTCACAGATCCTATAAAGTAATTATACAATTGAGACTACAGCAACTAGCTAACAACAGTATAACAGGAACAAAACCTCACATATCAATATTATCCTTTAATGTAAATAGCTTAAATGTTCCACTAAAAGGTATAGAATGGCAAATTGGATTTAAAAAATAAAACACAAGACCAAACCATATGTTGCTTTTAAGAGATCTACTTAAAGTGTCATGACATCCATAGGCTCACAGTAAATGAGTGAAGAAATATATTTCACATACGTGGAAAACAAAACAGAGCAAGGTTGCTATTCTTGTATCACACCACATAAGCCAGACTTTAAACAAACAACAGTAAAGACAGACAAAAAAGGCACTGTGTAATGACATAGGGTTCAATTCAACAAGAAGGTTTATCTATTCTAAATATATATGCACCCAACACCAAAGAAGCCAGATTTATAAAACAAATGCTAATATGACTAAGAAAAGAGATAGACATTCATAAAATAATAGACGGGAGTTCAATACTTCATTGACAGCAGTAGAAAAATATTTGATGCAGACTCTGGTCTTAAACTGTACTCTTGACCAATTGAAACTAATAGATAAATCAGAATATTTCATCCAACAATGGCACGATATACATTTTTCTATTCTGTTCATGAAATATAGTCAATTTATGGATTTCATGCACAGATGAAAATTCACAGATTAATTCCCCAAAACTAATCATATACTTGTTCATAAAGCAAGTTTCAATATACTTTTAAAAATCTATCACTATATCAGATCA
The DNA here is from genome assembly GCF_000001405.40 of Homo sapiens. Lineage (NCBI taxonomy): Eukaryota > Metazoa > Chordata > Mammalia > Primates > Hominidae > Homo > Homo sapiens. The sequence continues at coordinate 6,614,233 of NC_000024.10, forward strand.
AGTATATTCTCAGACCACAGTGGAATAAATCTAGGAATCTATACCAAGAGGAGTCCTCAAAGCCATACAAGAACAAGGAAAATAAACAACTTGCTTTTGAATGACTTTGTGTAAACAATAAAATTCAGGCAAAAATTAAAATTTTTTGAAACAAATGAAAATATAGACACTGCACACCAAAACTTCTCAGATGCAGCAAAAGTAGTATTAAAAGGAAAGTTTCTAAAACTAAATGTTTATTTCAAAAAGATAAAAGATTTCAAGTGACAACCTAATATCACACTTCAAAGCACTGGAACAACAGAAACAATTCAAACCCAAGGACAGTCGAAGAAAAAAATAACAAAAATCATAGTAGAACTAAATGAAATTAAGGCCAAATAAATAATACAAAGGATCAACAAAATGACAAGTTTGTTTTTTTGAAAGTAAAAATTGATAGACAGCTAGCTAGATTAAGAAAAGCAATTCAAATAAGCACAATTAGAAATGATAAAGGTTATATTACAACTGATACCACAGCAATACAAAAGACCATCAAAGATTACTGTGAACATCTCTACATGCACAAACTAGAGAGCATAAAGAAAATGGAAAAATTCCTGGAAACATGCAAACTTCCAAGATTGAACCAGGAAGAAATAGATTAGACATAGATTTCTATTTCTTCCTGGTTCAATCTTGGAAGTTTGCATGTTTCCAGGAATTTTCTATGCCAATAATGAGTTATGAAATTGAATCAGTGATAAAACATCTACCAACCAAAGCCCAGGATCATATGGATTTAGAGCTAAATTCTACCAGGAGTACAACAAAATCTGGTACGAATGTTACTAAAACTACTACAAAAAATAAAGGAGTAGACATGCCTCCCTAACTCATTCTATGAAACCAGTATTATTCTGACACCAAAATCTAGCAAGAATGCAACACAAAAGTAAACTTTAGGTCAATATTCTTGATAAACATAGACACAAAATTCACAACCAAATACTGGTAAACAGTATCTACCAGCAAGCCAAAAACATAATTTATCATCATCAAGTGGGGTTTATCCCAGAAATGCAAGGATGGTTCAACATATGAAAATGTGTTATTTACAACATATTCAGAAATAACAACAAAAAGCACATGATCATCTCAATAGTTGCAGATAAAATTCAGCATCCCTTTATGATAAAAACCCTCAACAACGTAGGCATCAAACAAATATATTTCAAATTAGTAACAGCCATGTATGACAACCCACAGCCAACATCATACTTAATGAGGAAAAATTGAAAGCATTCCTCCTAAGAACTAGTATAAGACAGGGATGTCCACTCTCATCACTTTTCTTCAACATAGTACTGAAAGCCCTACCCAGAGAAACTAGGGAGGAAAAAAAAAACATCCAAGTTGGAAAAGAGAAAATCAAATTATCTCTGTTTGCTGATCAGATGATCTTATATCTGGAAAATCTGAAGATTGCTCCAGAAGACTTTCACATCTGATAAACAACTTCAACAAAGTTTTAGGATACAAAATTAATGCACAAATACTAGTTGCATTTCTATACACCAACAATGCTCAATTTAAGAGCCAAATCAATAAATCAATCTTAGTTAAAATAGCCACAAAAATATCTATGAATACCTTTAACCAGGAAGGTGAAAGACCTATATAAGGAAAACTACAATACACTGATGAAATAAATTGTAGACAACACAAATGAAAGAACATGCTATGCCCATGGATAGAATCAATATGATTAAAATGAATATACACCCCAAAGCATTCTACAGATTCAATACAATTCTTATGAAAATACCAACATCGTTTTTCACAGAGTTAGACAAAACAATTCTAAAATTCATATGGAAACAAAGAAGAGCCCAAGATAGCCAAAGCAATCGTAAGCAATAAGAACAAAGTTGGAAACATCACATTGTCTGACTGCAAACTATGCTACAAGGAGATAGTAACCCAAACAGCACTGCACAGGGACAAAAATAGACACATAAATCAATAGAATAGAAAAAGAAACCAGAAATAAAGCCACATACCTACAACTAACTGATTCTTGACAAAGTAAACACAAGTAAACATTGGGGAAAGGACATCCTATTCAATAAATGCTTCAGGAAGAACAGGCTAGCTAAATGTTGAATAATGCAACTGGACCATTATCTCCCACTGCATAGAAAAATTAACTCAAGATGGAGTAAAAGTTTACATTTTAGACTGGATTATCAAAAAGTTCTGGAAGAAAACCTAGGAAAATGTCTTTTGGACATTGGCCTAGGTAAAGAATTTATGGCTAAGGCATCAAAGGCCAGTGCAACAAAAACAAAAATATACAAGTTAAAATTAAATAAAAGGGCTTCTGCACAACAAAAGACACTAACAACAGACTAAATTGATAACCTACAGCGTGGAAGAAAATATTTGCAAACTGAGTCTGATAAATGACTAATACTCATAATCTAAAAGGAATTTAAACAAATCAACACTAAGAAACCAATAACCTCATCAAATAGTGAGCAAGGAGATGAACAGACACTTCTCAAAGAAGACATATAATGAGTCAACAAATATATGAAAAAAGACTCAATATTACAAATCATCATATACATGCAAATTAACACCACAATGAAATCCATCTCATAAGAGTTGGAATGGCTATTATTAAATACTCAAAAAATAAAAGATGTTGGTGAGGATGTAGAGAAAAAGGGACACTTATTTACCATTACTTGTACTGTAAATTAGTTCAACCCCTAAGGTAATCAGTATCCAGATTTCTCAAAGAACTAAAAACAGAACTGCCATTTGACCCAGCAACCCCACTGCTGCTTCTCTCTCCAAAGGAAGAGAAATCATTCTACCAAAAAGACACCTGCACTCATATGTTTATGGCAGTCCTATTCACAGTAACAAAGTCATGGAATCAACCTAAGTGTCAGTCCATGGTTGATTGTGCAAAGAAAATGTCGTATATATACAGCATGAAATCCCATGCAGCCATAAAAAATAATAATGCCTTTGTAGCAACATGGTTGGAGCGAGAGGCCATTAACCTAAATGAAATAACTCAAAAACAGAAAAACAAATACTGCATAGTCTCACCTTTAGGAGTTAAGCAGTGGGTACACATGGAACAAATATGGAAATAATAGACACAGAAATCCAGTATATATATATACACACACATATATAGTTAATAATAATGTATATTTCTATTATTACAATATAATAATATGTACTTTTAATACATAATATGTATTTTAATAATGTATTTTAAAATTATATTAACTATATATAGTTAATATTAATGTATATTTAAAAATTGTTAAGAGAATGCAATTCAAATTTCTCATTAAAAGTGATAGCAAGTGATGTAATAGTAATTTAGCTTTATTTAATCTTCCACGTTGTGTGTTTGTGTGTGTGTATGTGTGTGTGTGTACACAGGTGTGGGACCTGTGGGACATGGACTGGCTTCCTCTCCTTGGGTTAACTGCAGCACATTGGAGGTGTGGATAAAAGACTTAGGGTCTTTGCTCCTTTGTTAGTCTGAGGGTAGAAAGATCAGTTCCACTCCAGAGGCCGTGGCAGAGAAGTTTTCAGTTGTCCCTGGAGGCTCTGTCCAGGAATTTTCTCGGTTGCTACTGGCTCAGTAGCTCTGGTGGGGGTGGCTGGAGGCCCAGGCATGGAGGACCTCACCAGTGAGGAGACGTGGGACCAAGCACCCACTTAAGTCTGGTCACTTTTCCATTGGACTGCTGCAGTATGCTGGGGGCTCACTCCAGTCCCTAGTCACCTTAGATTTTCCAATACCTGGAGGTATCACCAGTGAAGGCTGTGTAACAGCAAAGATGGCAGCCTTCTCCTCCAGACCTGTTTTTGGCCTGAACACACCTGTAGAAGGTAGCTAGAGACCACGGTTGGGAGTTCCCACCCAGTGAGGAGGAACAGGATTGGCAGACCTGCTTGAAAAAGCAGCCTGGTCATGTTTTGGTGGAGCAGCTGTGCTATGCTGGGTATCCACTTCAGCCCCCAGTCACCTCAGACACTCCAAAGCCCAAAGGCCGGAATAGCTAAGTCACTCAAACAGCAAAGATGGCAGCTCACCCCTCCTCTGGGAGCCCCATCCCTGGAGAGTTTGAAACCTCTGTCAGCCAGAGAACACTGGCGGGGATAGCTGGAGATCCGGGTTGGGAGGCCCCACTGATGATGAGAAACAGGATTGGGGAACTGCTTAAAAAAGCAATCTGGTCATGTTTTCATAAGGCAGTTGTGCTGTGCAGGGGGTCCACTTCAGCCCCTAGTCACCTTGTACTCTCCAAAGGCCAGAATAGCTATGTCACTCAAACGGCACAGATGGCAGGCCATCCCTCCCTCTGGGAGCTCCATTCCAGGGAGGCTTCAAATCTCTGTCAACTGGAGAACACCAGTGGGGGTGGCTAAAGACCCCAGTTGGAAGTCCTGCACACTGAAAAGGAATGGGAGAGGGGATCTTCTTAAAAAGGCAGTCTGGTGGTATTTTCATAGAGCAGTTGTGATGTGCTGTAGGATTCCTCCTGTTTCTGGTCAGCTTAGACTCTCCAAAGACCACAGGGTGGAACGGCTGTCTCCCAAACAGCAAAGATGGTGGCCTACCCCTACCCCCAGGAGCTCCATCCCAGTCGCAATATTACTATCAGTGGCTGGCTGAAATTCCAAGCCAGAGTTTTATTCTGTGAGGTGCCTTGGTAGTGGGACCTGCGGACAGTCACTGCTCAGCTCCCTGGATTCAGCCTCTTTCCTAGGGATATGTACAGGTGGTCTAACCTTTCACTTTGCTGGAATTGCAAGTAATTTTTCTGGGAAGCCCAGAAAGCCTGAGTATCTAAGGCTCCTGGGTCTCCACATGTGCCTGAGCAGATGCTCAGCAAAGACTCCACATAGCTCTGTGTGTCAGACTGAAGGCCCTGGTGGAGTGGGTTCATGAGGGGAATCTCCTGACCCAAGGGTTGCAAAGATCTGTGGAAGAAGCGTGGGTTCCTGCAGTCACACTTTCACTCACCACTTCCTTGGGTGGCGGAGGTTACTTGGCTCCATGTCACTCCTGGGTAGGCCATCATTCTGCTTTGATTTTCTCCATTTTTCGTGGGTCAAGTTGTTTTCTTGATTAGTCCTTATGCACGCTCCTGGATGTTTCAGTTGAAAATGCTGTATTTACTCACCCCTTCCTTTTCTCTCCATGAGAGCCATGCACACTAGCTGCTTCTAGTTGGCCATCTTGGCCACCTCCCCAACAGAGAACATTTTGGACAGGGGTGACAAATATGGATTTGATGATGGAATCTTTTAACCTTGATGCGAAGCTACAAGAAGGCTTCAACACCTTCGGTTTACAACAGTATTAGACTGTCTCACTTCCATCATTAATTACAAATTATTAATGAGCACCCTACACAGCACAGGATTGGTCAGTCTGTTCAAAGCTTTGATTGGACACTCCTCAGTTATAGTCAAGCAGATCCTCAGTATCACAATGCATGTTTTTTTTTTATTGTGGAAGTGCATTAAGAACTTGTGTTTGTACAATCTATAATTTACAAGCTATAGGAAACTGGGAGCAGAATGAAAAATGTCTGATTTCAACCATCAATGGCAATATGCTATAAAAATCTCTAGGAAGTGTTAAAACACAGGATTGACATCTGCTCTGTGACATGAACACTCCATATGAACATTTATAAAGTTAAAATTAACTGTGAGAGTTACTCTGCCAACTAGAATTTACAGGTTCACATATAACCTACATACTCAATGATACATATTTGGACATGTTAATTTAGTTTTAATTCACTCCATGTTTGTCTTGAAGATCAAGTGAATTTAGGACAGATAGTATGATTGCTAAGCAGCAGGAAAATTCACTTTATTTCTTTGGTCATAAATTAACTTGAAACCTTTCAGCTTGAGTTTCTTGTTATTTCTTTGTTTGTTTGTTTTCTTTTTCCAGACCTGTTATTTTTGTTATAGGTACAGACTAAGTAGAGAGTTAGATTAAGTAGAGTTGAGGGTCTTCCAGGTAACTACAATAGAGAAATAAAAAGTGTGAGCAACAGAGGAACAAACAGGCAAGTGGAATGTACATACAAGGCAGAGATTGCAATGAAAGAACATGAACTCTAAAGTGGGTAATAAGGGAAAGTAATACAGGCAGAAAACATTGAAAAGTGAAAAGGTGGTAATGTAAATAAGTTTGATTCCAATAGAGTCAAATAATTGTTGGAAAGTGATGCTAGAGGCTATGACCTACAAAGATGGGATATTGTGACTGGTGAATGGATTTATTGAAATTGAGATTTTGTAAATGTAATTAATGAAAATAATAATGTCTATGATCACAGGTGGAGGTGTCACAGGTGGGACAAAGGAAAAGCTCACCGACACTAATGAAGTCAAGAAACTGAGAGAACAGTTTGAGGGATTTTTTTTATTATTATTTTAACATTCCTGACAACTGACAAGAGTGGTGTTGGATATAAATTAAGTCAGACATAAAATTCTGAAGGAAGAAATGTAAATAATTAGCCAGTCTATAAATAAAAAGAGAGACAGTGATACGGTTAGCCCATGTGTCTTCACCCAAATCTCATCTTGAATTGTAATCCCCAGATGTTGAGGAAGGACCCTGGTGGGAGGTGATTGGATCATGGAGGTGGTTTCTCCCATGCTGTTCTCATGGTAGTGAGTACTCACAAGATCTGATGGCTTTATTAGTGTTTGGCAAGTTCCTCCTTCACTCACTCTTCTCTCTTCTGCCGACTTAAGAAGAAGGTGCTTGCTTCCCCTTCCACCATGATTGTAAGTTTCCTGATGCCTCCCCAGCCATGCAGAACTGTGAATCAATTAAACCCCTTTTCTTTATATATTACCCAGTTTTGGGTAGTATCTTTATAGCAGTGTGAGAACAGACTAATATCTTTACAGCAGTGTGAGAACAGACTAATACAAATGTTATACTAACACCATATATAATATATAGTATAGTATTGCATGCAATTCAAAGGATATTTTTTCTTTTTGTAAATTAGAAGGGAAGAATAATGGTCCAGAATTGGCAAAAAAAAAAAAAAAAAAAAAAAAACTAAGACAATATATTCTCAGGCCCACTAGTTCATAGAATGTGAGATAATAGAATCTCTTTCACTCATCTTAGCTCCTGGGGGAAACACTGTCCTCTGGAGACATCCAGAAAATTTAAGAAGGTAAAGGATACATCCAGGAAAACATTGAAACATTTTTCCATTAGAGAGCACAGTGAGAGGATTTAAGGCATTTAGAATAGATTGAACATGGGTACATATTATAGTATATACACTGCCATGAGAAGATAAAAATCGATCCACTTTATGATAGAGAATTTTGGAGTCTTGGCCCCCTTGTGATCATCAAAGTAAGCAAGGACAAGAGTCATAAAGATAATTTTCTCTATTGTCATTTACATGGAGGTGAATAATTATTCTAATTATTAGTATAATTTTAGGGTCTCTCCATGAGTAGGAACTCTCTGAGTTTGCCCATATATTTTCTAATAGGTTGATGTGATGTTCATCCTAGGGAAAGACTACATTACAAAAAGCAAGTGGATGTCTATGCTAGCTGCCTAAATCATGTTGAAAATGATGTCAATGCTCAGAGACAGGCAGTCCTACTAAGACTATAAGAAATTCTGCCAACTGTGAACTTTAAACTCTTTTGAGGTGAATAACTAACCAACAGCCAACAAAATTCTTATCTGAGAAACAGTGAAAATAAATGTTATATTTAGGAAAAAGACAAGGATGCTTTCTACTATCCCAATTTTAAATATTTGTCAGGAAATTTTACTTAATATATTTTATATATTTTATAATTTGCAACATTATATAAATTATATATCATATATATATCATGTATGATCATATATATATGATGTTGCTGAAATGGGAAAAGTTCCCTTGTCCCTCTTGCAGGGTGTGAAATGGGGATGTGGCTTGCTTCTTCAGTGCTCTATTGCTCAAACCTTTAGGGGAGCATACAGATGGGCAGGGAGACCCATGGCAGTGTCCAGGGGTGAATGTTTACAGCTGAAGCCCAGTGACCATGTGTTACTGGGTGCTCTTTTAGTTTAGCCCTGCATAGGTGGCTGTGTTAGCTCAATTAGACCCCTGCTTTATCGCAAGCACAGAGGGCTTTCTGTATCCCAGGGTTCTTGCCTTGGAGTACGGGAAGAATTGGATCACACATGGGCTTGGAGAATGAGTCCAAGGTTTTATTGAATGGAAGTAGCTCTCAGCAGTGGGGGAGCCAGAAGGGAGAAGATTTTCCCCTAGAGTTGGGCCACTTGGAGGCCTGGACTCTCCTCCAACTGCCCCAACCAAACTCTGTGTCATTCTGCTGGTCGGTGGCCTGCCAGCATGTTCGGTGTGTTCCTCTCGACATCCAACCATCCGTGTGTTCCTCTGCTGATGTGCTCCTCTCGATGTCCAGCCACCTGTGTGTCTGCTTGCTAGCATCTTGGGGTTTTTACAGGCACAGGATGGGGCCATGGCAGGCCAGGGTAGTCTTGGGAAATGCAACATTTGGGCAGGAAAACAAAAATGCCTGTCCTCATGTAGGTCTGTGGCCACAGGCCTGGGTGTGGAGTCCTAGCCAGGGACCACAACCTTACCCCCTTCCGTATAATTTAAAGGGATCATGTCCTTCCTTTCCCAGAATTTCCCTTCCATATCATTGTTAATGACATGTTTGGATACTTCAGAAATCTAAGATAGATCATCTAAGACACATAAGAGCTTAGAATTTGTCACTTTCATTCTTTTAACAAGGAAAAGCTGGAAAAACTGAAAATCAGTTGACACTTTTTGGACTCATCAGAGAAGTGAAGTTACTGGATTTCCTTGAAATATTTAGAAACAGTTATTTTAAGAAGGACAAAACACATGAGCAATTTCTTATCTGGAGCAGACACTGCCAGACACCCTAGAAGGCAGTAAGAACGTTAAACTAGAAATTCTGATGAACTTATGGTGCCCAAATGTGGGCTAGCTTCTGGAGGCTGCAATCACAGGAATACCCCTCATTTCTGTAGGCTTTCCTCCAGAAGCTCCACCAGGCTTTCATAGAGTGGATTTAGAAAAATCCTAAGAGTGCTCCCTTTGTGACTCTGCCAAGGGAAGGGAAGGAATTAGGAGGCAGGGTGAAAAAGAGTCTACCCCTAAAGAAAAAAAAGAAACACGAATTACAAAAGTCACAGCTCTGAAACACAGCTTACTATGCATTCCAAAACTTGAGAATAAAACATAAAACCTAGAGAATGCCTTATATCCTTCTTTCCTATATGATCACTATACTAGTAATGCCTCCAATAATGGTTACAGTGGATTACAACTGAAAGAGCTAAAAGAAAAAATAAATAAATAAAACTTTCTAAGAAGCAGAATAGAGAAGCCCAAAATTCAACAGGAGAGAAAAAAAACATGATTACTAGAGAAATATGAATCTTCCAGTGTCCATAGCTACAACAAACATCAAACATAACACAACTCTTGGCCAGATAACATGTATACCAAACATCTATTAACATATATGATATGTTCATCATTCAACAAAAAGTTCTAAGACATGCCCAAAAGGCAAGAAGCAAACAAATAAACAACACACAGTCAGAAGACAAAGTATTAATGAGACACAGACTCACTTATGACATGAATGTTGGAATTGTCAGAGAGGAAATTTAAAAATGATTATGATTACCTTGTCAAAATCTCTAATGAAAAAGGTACAGGACAGGCAAAACCAGAAGGGTCACATAAGAGGAGAGATGCAAATTGTAAGAATAAAAAGAAAAGGTTATAAATTATTTTTAAAAAATATGGCAACAAAAATGAAGAATGCTCTCCATAGTTCATCAGTATACCCAACACAACTAAATAAAAAGTCAGTAAATTTGAAGACAGGTAAATAGAAATTTTTCAAACTGAAATTGAATAAAGTGACAAAAATAGAAGAGAACATTCGAGAACTGTGGGAAAATATCTGCAAAACTGTAATACTAGAAGAAAAAGGCAAAATGAAACAAAATAAAAATTTGAAGAAATAGTAGTTGAAAAATGTTAAGTTAGTGACAGTCACCAATACATGGATCTAAGAAGCTTAGAGAACCCTAAGAAAAGATAACACACTGTATTAGTCAGGATTCTCCGAAAAAATATAAACAATAGAACCAATAGGCTCTATTTTTGTCTCTCCATAGAGAGAGAGATACAGAAGTTTATTTTAAGAAGTTGGCTCACATGATTATGGGAGCAGGCAAATCCAAAAGCTGCAGGATGGATTGGCAGGTTGGAGACCCAAAGAAGAGCAAATAATGTAGTTCAAGTCTGAAGGCCATCAGAATAAAGTTTCAGGAAGGAACCAACATTGCAGTTCAAATCCAAAGGATATCTACTGGCAGAATTACTCTTTGCTTGGGGGAAGTCAGTACTTTTGTTCTATTCAGTTCTTAACTGAGTGGATGAGACCCACCCAACTTACAGAGGAAAATCTCTTTTGCTCAAAGTTGACTAATTTATATGCTAATCTCATGGAAAACAATCTTCATAAAAATATCTGGAATAATGTGTGAACAAATATTTGGGCACAATGAGGCATCCAAATTGACACTTAAAATTAATTATCACACATAACAAAACATAGATAAGAATTGCCAAAGACATCTTATCAGATATTATGTCAACAGGAAAATAATGGCATACAATATTTAAAATTTTAAAAGAAAAATTCTGCCAATCAAAAATTCTATACTCAGCAAAACATGTACTTTAAGATTGAAAAAAAATCCTTTCTCAAAAAAAAAATTATTACTAGTAGACTAGCCCTACAAAAATTGTTAAAGGAAGTTCTTCACAGAAAGAAACTTATATAGGTCAGAAAAATTGAGAATATACAAAAAAAAGAAGAGTGGAGCACAACAAATAAATAAAGGTAAAATATCTTTTATGTTTTTCTTAATTTCCCAAAAGATAATTGACACTTTAAAACAATAATAATAACAATGTATGAAGTATTTATAGCATATGTTTAAATAAAATGAATGACTGTGTCAGAAGAGATGAGAGAGGAATTAAGAATACCATAAATTACCTGCACTATATCTGAATGAAATAGTATTATTTAAAGAGGAACTTAGATTGTTTAAAAATGTATATAGTAAACCCTCAGGCAACCACTAAAATAATGAAAAGGAAGTATAAGTGATATGTCAGTATGGAAGACAAATGGCATCATAATAAATGTTCAATAAATAGCAGAGAGAGCCACAGAAGGAAACATTTAAAAGAAAGAGCAAATGCAATTAATACAAAGCATAAAGATAATAGGCTGGGCATCGTGACTCACATCTGTAATCCCAGCACTTTGGGAGGCCGAGGCAGGCAGATCACATGAGGTCAGGAGTTCAAGACCAGTCTGACCAACATGGAGAAATGCTGTCTCTACTAAAAATACAAAATTAGCCAGGCATGGTGGTGCATGCCTGTAATCCCAGCTACTCGGGAGGCTGAGGCAGGAGAATCACCTGAACCTGGGAGGTGGAGGTTGTGGTGAGCAAAGATCATGCCATTGCACTCCAGCCTGGGCAACAAGAGTGAAACTCTGTCTCAAAAAAAAAAAAAAAAAAAGAAACAGATAGTATATATAGTTTCTTCCAAATATATTTGGAATCACTTTATACCTGAATAGTCTAAATACACCAGTCAAAATCAGAAATTGGTTTTCTGTTCCTGTGTTAATTCACTTAGGATTATGGCCTCCAGTTCTATCCATGTTGTTGCAAAGGACATGCTTTTATTTTTTTCCTATAGTTGTGTAGTATTTCATGGCGTATGTGTAACACATTTTCTCAATTATAAATAGTAGCTAAATATTGAGCACACAAGGACTCAAACAAGGGAACAACAGACACTGTGGACTACTAGATGGGGGAGATGGAAAGAAGGAGGTGGGTTGAAAAACTACCTATTGGGTAATATGTCAGTACCGGGGTGCAATATAACCATGTAAAAAATCTGCACATGTACGTTCTGTATCTAAAAAAAAAGTTGAATTTAAAAAAAAAGAAATTGGGAAGTATGATCAACTGATAAACACCAATGTAGGGAAAGATGTAGACTTAAGAACACTCTTACACAATACTTATTAGAGTTTTAATTGGTATGATCACTTTTGGGAGCCATTTGGTAATATCTCGTGAGATTAAAAATGTGCATATTTCATGACCAGACAATTCCAACCCTCAATGTCTATATCAGATATGTTCTATTTTATATATGCCAGGAAACATATGAAAAAAAGTATTTACTTTAGCGCTTGTTGATATCAGCAAATAAAGCGTAAATAAATTAACTTTCTGCCAATAGGAAAATGGGTGACTTAGAGATAGCTTATTTTTATAAGAAAATAGTATATAATATTAGAAATGAATTCAGTTGATTTACTTGTATCAAGAGGGATAAATATAGAAAAGATAATGTTGAGGAGGAGCCAAGATGGCTAACAGGAACAGCTCCGGTCTACAGCTCCCAGTGAGAGCGACGCAGAAGACAGGTGATTTCTACATTTCCATCTGAAGTACCAGGTTCATCTCACCATGGAGTGCCAGACAGTGGGTGCAGGTCAGTGGGTGTGTGCACCGTGCATGAGCCAAAGCGGGGCAAGGCATTGCCTCACTCGGGAAGTGCAAGGGGTCAGGGAGTTCCCTTTCCTAGTCAAAGAAAGGGGTGTCAGACGGCACCTGGAAAATCGGGTCAGTCCCACCTGAATACTGCACTTTTCTGACGGGCTTAAAAAACGGTGCACCAGGAGATTATATCCCACACCTGGCTCAGAGGGTCCTATGCCCACAGAGTCTTGCTGATTGCTAGCACAGCAGTCTGAGATCAAACTGCAAGGTGGCAGCAAGGCTGGGGGAGGGGCGCCCACCATTGCCCAGGCTTGCTTAGGTAAACAAAGCAGAGGGGAAGCTTGAACTGGGTGGAGCCCACCACAGCTCAAGGAGGCCTGCCTGCCTCTGTAGGCTCCACCTCTGGGGGCAGGGCACAGACAAACAAAAAGACAGCAGTAACCTCTGCAGACTTAAATGTCCCTGTCTGACAGCTTTGAAGAGAGCAGTGGTTCTTCCAGCACACAGCTGGAGATCTGAGAATGGGCAGACTGCCTCCTCAAGTGGGTCCCTGACCCCTGACCCCCAAGCAGCCTAACTGGAAGGCACCCCCAAGCAGGGGCAGACTGACACCTCACAGGGCTGGGTACTCCAACAGACCTGCAGCTAAGGGTCCTGTCTGTTAGAAGGAAAACTAACAAACAGAAAGGACATCCACACCAAAAACCCATCTGTACATCACCATCATCAAAGACCAAAAGTAGATAAAACCACAAAGATGGGGAAAAAACAGAACAGAAAAACTGGAAACTCTAAAAAGCAGAGCACCTATCCTCCAAAGGAATGCAGTTCCTCACCAGCAACAGAACAAAGCTGGACAGAGAATGACTTTGACGAGCTGAGAGAAGAAGGCTTCAGACGATCAAATTACTCCGAGCTATGGGATGACATTCAAACCAAAGACAAAGAAGTTGAAAACTTTGAAAAAAAATTTAGAAGAATGTATAACTAGAGTAACCAATACAGAGAAGTGCTTATAGAGCTGATGGAGCTGAAAACCAAGGCTTGAGAACTACGTGAAGAATACAGAAGCCTCAGGAGCTGATGCGATCAACTGGAATAAAGGGTATCAGTGATGGAAGATGAAATGAATGAAATGAAGTGAGAAGGGAAGTTTAGAGAAAAAAGAATAAAAAGAAATGAGCAAAGCCTCCAAGAAATATGGGACTATGTGAAAAGACCAAATCTACGTCTGATTGGTGTGCCTGAAAGTGACGGGGAGAATGGAACCAAGTTGGAAAACATTCTGCAGGATATTATCCAGGAGAACTTCCCCAATCTAGCAAGGCAGGCCAACATTCAGATTCAGGAGATACAGAGAATGCCACAAAGATACTCCTCGAGAAGAGCAACTCCAAGACACATAATTGTCAGATTCACCAAAGTTGAAATGAAAGAAAAAATGTTAAGGGCAGCCAGAGAGAAAGGTCAGGTTACCCTCAAAGGGAAGCACATAAGACTAACAGCAGATCTCTCAGCAGAAACTCTACAAGCCAGAAGAGACTGGGAACCAATATTCAACATTCTTAAAGAAAAGAATTTTCAACCCAGAATTTCATATCCAGCCAAACTAAGCTTCATAAATGAAGGAGAAATAAAATACTTTATAGACAAGCAAATGTTGAGAGATTTTGTCACCACCAGGCCTGCCCAAAAAGAGCTCCTGAAGGAAGTGCTAAACATGGAAAGGAACAACCGGTACCAGCCACTGCAAAATCATGCCAAAATGTAAAGACCATCGAGACTAGGAAGAAACTGCATCAACTAACAAGCAAAATAACCAGCTAATATCATAATGACAGGATCAAATTCACACATAAAAATATTAACTTTAAATGTAAATGGACTAAATGCTCCAATTAAAAGACACAGACTGGCAAATTGGATAAAGAGTCAAGACCCATCAGTGTGCTGTATTCAGGAAACCCATCTCATGTGCAGAGACACACATAGGCTCAAAATAAAAGGATGGAGGAAGATCTACCAAGCAAATGGAAAACAAAAAAAGGCAGGGGTTGCAATCCTAGTCTCTGATAAAAGAGACTTTAAACCAACAACGATCAAAAGAGACAAAGAAGGCCATTACATAATGGTAAAGGGATCAATTCAACAAGAAGAGCTAACTATCCTAAATATATATGCACCCAATACAGGAGCACCCAGATTCATAAAGCAAGTCCTGAGTGACCTACAAAGAGACTTAGAATCCCACACATTAATAATGGGAGACTTTAACACCCCACTGTCAACATTAGACAGATCAACGAGACAGAAATTCAACAAGGATACCCAGGAATTGAACTCAGCTCTGCACCAAGCAGACCTAATAGACATCTACAGAACTCTCCACCCCATATCAACAGAATATACATTTTTTTCAGCACCACACCTATTCCAAAATTGACCACATACTTGGAAGTAAAGCTCTCCTCAGCAAGTGTAAAAGAACAGAAATTATAACAAACTATCTCTCAGACCACAGTGCAATCAAACTAGAACTCAGGATTAAGAATCTCACTCAAAACTGCTCAACTACATGGAAACTGAACAACCTGCTCCTGAATGACTACTGGGTACATAATGAAATGAAGGCAGAAATAAAGATGCTATTTGAAACCAACGAGACCAAAGACACAACATACCAGAATCTCTGGGACACATTCAAAGCAGTGTGTAGAGGGAAATTTATAGCACTAAATGCCCACAAGAGAGAGCAGGAAGGATCCAAAATTGACACCCTAACATCACAATTAAAAGAACTAGAAAAGCAAGAGCAAACACATTCAAAAGCTATCAGAAGGCAAGAAATAACTAAAATCAGAGCAGAACTGAAGGAAATAGAGACACAAAAAACCCTTCAAAAAATTAATGAATCCAGGAGCTGGTTTTTTGAAAGGATCAAGAAAATCGATAGACCACTAGCAAGACTAATAAAGAAAAAAAGAGAGAAGAATCAAATCGATGCAATAAAAAATGATAAAGGGGATATCACCACTGATCCCACAGAAATACAAACTACCATCAGAGAATACTATGAACACCTCTAGGCAAATAAACTAGAAAATCTAGAAGAAATGGATAAATTCCTCGACACATGCACTCTCCCAAGACTAAACCAGGAAGAAGTTGAATCTTTGAATAGATCAATAACAGGATCTGAAATTGTGGCAATAATCAATAGCTTACCAACCAAAAAGAGTCCAGGACCAGATGGATTCACAGCCGAATTCTACCAGAGGTACAAGGAGGAACTGGTACCATTCCTTCTGAAATTATTCCAATTAATAGAAAAAGAGGGAATCCTCCCTAACTCATTTTATGAGGCCAGCATCATCCTGATACCAAAGCCAGGCAGAGACACAACCAAAAAAGAGAATTTTAGACCAATATCCTTGATGAACATTGATGCAAAAATCCTCAATAAAATACTGGCAAACCGAATCCAGCAGCACATCAAAAAGCTTATCCACCATGATCAAGTGGGCTTCATCCCTGGGATGAAAGGCTGGTTCAATATACTCAAATCAATAAATGTAATCCAACATATAAACAGAACCAAAGACAAAAACCACATGATTATCTCAATAGATGCAGAAAAGGCTTTTGACAAAATTCAACAACGCTTCATGCTAAAAACTCTCAATAAATTAGGTATTGATGGGACGTATTTCAAAATAAGAGCTATCTATGACAAACCCACAGCCAATATCATACTGAATGGGCAAAAACTGGAAGCATTCCCTTTGAAAACTGGCACAAGACAGGGATGCCCTCTCTCACCACTCCTATTCAACATAGTGTTGGAAGTTCTGGCCAGGGCAATTAGGCAGGAGAAGGAAATAAAGGATATTCAATTAGGAAAAGAGGACGTCAAATTGTCCCTGGTTGCAGACGACATGATTGTATACCTAGAAAACCCCATTGTCTCAGCCCAAAATCTCCTTAAGCTGATAAGCAACTTCAGCAAAGTCTCAGGATACAAAATCAATGTGCAAAAATCACAGGCATTCTTATACACCAACAATAGACAGACAGAGAGCCAAATCATGAGTGAACTCCCATTCACAATTGCTTCAAAGTGAATAAAACACCTGGGAATCCAACTTACAAGGGATGTGAATGACCTCTTCAAGGAGAACTACAAACCACTGCTCAAGGAAATAAAAGAGGATACAAACAAATGGAAGAACATTCCATGCTCATGGGTAGGAAGAATCAATATCATGAAAATGGCCATGCTGCCCAAGGTAATTTATAGATTCAATGCCATCCCCATCAAGCTACCAATGACTTTCTTCACAGAATTGGAAAAAACTACTTTAAAGTTCATATGGAACCGAAAAAGAGCCCGCATCTCCAAGTCAATCCTAAGCCAAAAGAACAAAGCTGGAGGCATCACGCTACCTGACTTCAAACTATACTACAAGGCTACAGTAACCAAAACAGCATGGTACTGGTACCAAAACAGAGATATAGATCAGTGGAACAGAACAGAGCCCTCAGAAATAACGCCACATATCTACACCTATCTGATCTTTGACAAACCTGAGAAAAACAAGCAATGGGGAAAGGATTCCCTATTTAATAAATGGTGCAGGCAAAACTGACTAGCCATATGTAGAAAGCTGAAACTGGATCCCTTCCTTACACCTTATGCAAAAATTAATTCAAGATGGATTAAAGACTTAAACGTTAGACCTAAAACCATAAAAACCCTAGAAGAAAACCTAGGCATTACCATTCAGGACATAGGCATGGGCAAAGACTCCATGTCTAAAACACCAAAAGCAATGGCAACAAAAGACAAAATTGACAAATGGGATCTAATTAAACTAAAGAGCTTCTGCACAGCAAAAGAAACTACCATCAGAATGAACAGGCAACCTACAAAATGGGAGAAAATTTTCACAACCTACTCATCTGACAAAGGGCTAATATCCAGAATCTACAATGAACTCAAACAAATTTACAAGAAAAAAACAACCCCATCATCAAAAAGTGGGCGAAGGACATGAACAGACACTTCTCAAAAGAAGACATTTATGCAGCCAAAAAACACATGAAAAAATGCTCACCATCACTGGCCATCAGAGAAATGCAAATCAAAACCACAATGAGATACCTTCTCACACCAATTAGAATGGCAATCATTAAAAAGTCAGGAAACAACAGGTGCTGGAGAGGATGTGGAGAAATAGGAACACTTTTACACTGTTGGTGGGACTGTAAACTAGTTCAACCATTCTGGAAGTCAGTGTGGCGATTCCTCAGGGATCTAGAAGTAGAAATACCATTTTCACAGCCATCCCATTACTGGGTATATACCCAAATGACTATAAATCATGCTGCTATAAAGACACATGCACACGTATGTTTATTGTGGCATTATTCACAATAGCAAAGACTTGGAACCAACCCAAATGTCCAACAATGATAGACTGGATAAAGAAAATGTGGCACATATACAACATGGAATACTATGCAGCCATAAAAAATGATGAGTTCATGTCCTTTGTAGGGACATGGACGAAGCTGGAAACCATCACTCTTAGCAAACTATTGCAAGGGCAGAAAACCAAACACCATATGTTCTCATAGGTGGGAATTGAACAATGAGAACACTTGGACACAGGGAGGGGAACATCACACAATGGGGCCTGTTGTGGGGTGGGGGGAGGGGGGAGGGATAGCATTAGGAGATATACCTAATGCTAGATGACGAGTTAGTGGGTGCAGCGCACCAGCATGGCCCATGTATACATATGTAACTAACCTGCACATTGTGCACATGTACCCTAAAACTTAAAGTATAATAATAATAAATAAAGAAAAAGAAAACAAAAGAAAAGATAATGTTAAGTAAAAATCAAACCTTCAAAAGGGTACTTAGAGTAGGAAGCAACATATATAAATTAAAACACACAAATTAATAGAATATTTGTTTATGGGGACATACATATGTAGTAAAGACAAAATGCACATTTGTTAGTTCAATGGCATAAAAAAATCATAAATTGTAGATTAGATTAAGAAACAAAAAACAGTATCAAGAAAACAAAACAAAAATATGATACCTAATTATATGCTGTGTAGAGCAAACCCAATTTAAATATAAAGACTTTTAGAAGTTAAATAAAATGATGAAGAAAGATATATCATGCAAACACAAAGCATAAAAAGAAGCTGAATTACCTCTATTAATTTCAGACAAAGCAATCTTCAGAACAAAAAAGAGTATCAGGAGTAAAAGAAACATTAAATAATGAAAAAAGGATCAATTCTCAAAGCAGACATAATCATAAAATGGTGTGTACCTAACAAAACAGCATCAAAATATATGCAAAAATTTATAGAACTGAAAGGAGAAATAGACAAATATCCTATTATAGTTGCATAGTTTGACACTCCCTTGTCAGTAAATGATAAATAGAGCAGGCAGAAAATGATAAGGCTAAAGATAAACTGAACAACACTATCAACAAATTGGCATTATAGAATATTCTGTACAGCATCATAAGAATACACGTTCTTCTCATGTGCAGATGGAACACTCATCAGGATGGAACACTCATGAAGATACATCACAGTATAGGCCATAAAATAAACATTTGCAGGTTGAAAATGCTAGAAATTATGTAAAGTACGTTCTCAGAGGGTAACAGATTTACTGTAGAAATCAGTAACTGAAATATGGCCATAAAACCTGAACTATTTATAAAATAGAGAATATAGCTCTAAATAACACTTACGGTTAAAAAAATACCAACATATCTTATGAACACAGAGTATATACAAAAATCCTTTAAAGTATTAGCAAATCAAAAATGGTAAGATATAAAAAGAGTAATTCACCACAACTTATTCATTATAGGAATGCAAGTATGGTTTTACATTCATAAATCAATCAATGTAATTTATCTTGTTAGCAGGCTAAATATCAGAAATCATATCAATAGATACATTAAATACATTTTACAAAATTTAATATCCCTTTACGATTAAAAACTCAAAAATCAGGAATAGAAGGTGTGTTAGCCCAGTCTTGCATTGCTATGAAGAAATGACCAAAACTGGATAAATTGTAAAGAAAATAAACCTAATTGGCTAACAGTTCTGCAGGTTTTGCAGAAAGTATGGTGATGGCATCTGCTGGACTTCTGGTGAGGCCTCTGGGAGCCTTTATTCATGGTGGAAGGCAAAGTGGGAACTGGCACATCACATGGCTTGAGCTAGAGCAAGAGAGAGAATGGGAAATCCTACAGAGTTTTAAATAACCAGATCTTGTGTGAACCCACTCATCACTAAGGGGATGGTGCTAAGTCATTCATGAGGGATACACATTTTCATGATCTAAACACTTTCCACGTGCCCCATCTCCAACAATGGGGATTACATTTCAATGTGAGATTGGATGGGGAAACAGATCCAAATCATCTCAGAGGGAAACATCCTTTATGTAATCAGGCAGATAGGAAAACTTACAAAGAACATCGTATTGATGACAGACAGAACAAAATGAATATAGTAGTATTGCATTATAGCTAAAATTATAAAATAAATACTTACAAGTCCATACAGATATTAAAAATGAATTAATAAATAGACAAGGGAGAATAGAAAAATCTCCTCTGCAGAAGAATTACAAATAATTTGTTAAGATACATTCACCTTAAGGAAGCAGAGCTCATCTCCCAGTTTCTTAGATGTGGTCTTTATATTGTGACTTTCTTCCAAAAAATACACATTACAAAGGAATAAAAAAAGGAACTACAGTGTAGCAACTTGACAAACTACCATAGCCAAGTGATTAATATCAACATTAAAAAGTCATATTGATAGCATATATTCTTGATATACTATGACAAGAAAGGCATTTAATCTCTGTGATCTTGCAACCAGATACCAATTATCCCAGCCTAATGAGAAAAACATCAAAGAAATTGCAATGTAGGAACATTCTACAAAATAACCTGAACTCCTCAAAACTGTCAAAGTCATCAGAACAGAAATGGAAAATCTGAGAAACCATCATAGCTACATGGAGCCAAAGGAGACATGACTACTAAATATAGTGTGGTATTATGTTTGGGAATCTAAGATAGGAAAAGGACATGCAGTAAAAACTATGAAAATGTGCATAAATGTGGACTTTAGTTAATAAGATATCAATACTAGTTTGTTAATTATAACAAATCTATTTTTCTAATATAAGATACTAGTTATAGGAGAAACTGGATGCAGAGTATATGGAAAACATACGATTTTATTTTTATTTAAAACTGCTCTAAATTATCAAGTTTATAAAAATATTTACTCTACTACTTCTTCCTTAAAAATTCTAATTAAGTATGAGATAGGCTTAAACTCTTCAAATGAAGACACATAGAATATCTGATGATATTAGGAAAACCAAAGTAATGGAGCTTCACAGAAATTTAATTTCATCAAAGTTAGCAATGTGAATGATCAGCCACTCCGGACTAAATTCTGATTCTTTTTTGTACCCTTACAATATTTAATTTGCTAGCTTTAAAAGATTTTAACTATGATGTTTCAAACAATTGTTTTAGGAGATATCTGAACATTAACTTGAGCATTGGAAGCTTTTATTATGGTAAAGAGAATTGGTGGAAATAATGGTTAATGATGTTTAAAATACTTTTGTGTGTTTATAATACTATCTAGAGAGCCACTTTGCAGAAATGTATATTCAGATTATTAACCCATTTTATGATTGGGTTATTTAATTATTTAATATTGTGCTATTAGTACTTTATAGGCTCTAGATACAAGTTTTGTTGTTGCTGTTGTTGGATATGTGGTTTGCAAATATTTCCTCCCAGTCTGTTCCTTGTCTTTTCTTCTTCACATGGACCTTCAAAGAGCAAATGTTTTTAGTTTCAATTTTAATTATGTCCAATGTAGCAAAGTTTTATGGATTTGGATTTTGTTATAAAATCTAAGAACACTTTCACTAGCCATAGGACCCAAGGATATTCTACCATGATTTTAATAAAAGTTTTCAGGTGTGTGCTTTATATTTAGGTCCATGATCTATTTTGAATGGATTTTTACATGAGGGGTAAGGTTTAGGTCAAGGTTTGTATTTTTTCCCCATGGAAGTTTAGCTCCTCTAGTGCCAATAAAAATAGAATTAATACAAAATGCATTATATACAAAAACTGGCTCATGATGTTTCATAGACCTAAATATAAAACTGCAAACTAGACAAATTCAAGGTGAAAATGTAAGAGAAAATGTTTTCCTCTTGGAGTTACAAAAATATATATATTACATATTTTACAAAAAGCATATTCACAGAAGAATAAATCTAGATAAATTGAACAGTATCCAAACTAAAAACTTCTGCTCTTTCAAATACACTGTTAATAATGGAAAGAAAATTCACACTTTTTCTGGGAGAAAATATTTTCAGATCATATATCTGACAAGGGACATATAACCAGAATGTATAAAGGACATTCAAATCTCAACATTGTGTAAACAACAATTTTTCAAAAAAGAACAATACATATCAATGGACATTTGAATAAATTAAATATTCATATGGCAAACGAGAATGTGAAAAATTAACCCCATTAGTTATCAGGGAATTGCCAGGGGAAAAACATGAGATTTCTCCAAACATGCATTAGAATGGCAAAAACATTTTTTTCAATGACATACCAAGCATTGATGAAGATATAGAACAACTGGATCTCTCACATACTGTTGGTCGGAAAGCAAGATTATATTGCTACTTGAGAAAACTGTTTAGTAGTTACTTAGAACATTAATCATACACTTAACATGTTACCTTGTAATCTTACTGCTAGGTGATTTCCCAAGTGAAATAAGATTTTAAGTTCACACACGAAAAACAAACTGTACAATAATTTTTACAACTGCTATATTCATAATTGCCAGAAAACAGAAACAACATAATTCCCCTTAATGGGTTAATGAATAAGCAGACAACAGTACATCTATCTATACAACAGAATACTACTCGGCAATTAAGGAATCAACTATGAATACACTCAACAACCAACAACATGGATGAATCTCGAATGTATTCTGTAAAGCAAAAACATACATTAAAAGTGTGTATTATACGTAATTTCATTAATATGACATTCTTAAATAGATGAAACAATAGGAAGAGAAAACTGATGGGTGGTTGTCAGGTACTGGGGGTAAGAATTGATTACAAAGAGCATAATAAAATGTTTTAGGGTAATGGAACAAATCTATATCTTGCCTTTTCTGATAGTTATATGGTTGGATATATTTGTCAGCAATCATAGAACTCTATAGGGAAGAGGGTACATTTTACTGTTTGTAAATTATAATGCCTCTCCAACCCACACACACCCTAAAAATACAACATGAAAGAAAACTCAAAACTTTACCTAATAATCAGGCCAAGCTAGAGAAGAAACAGATCCTTCATATATTATTTTCCAATACCATTAATTAAGTTTTTTTCATTATTATTTTCTAAAATGTTTGTGGATACACAGTACATGTATATATTTATAGGGTATGTGATATATTTTGATAAAGACATGCAATGTGAAATAAGTATATCATGAAGTATGGGGTAACTATCCTGTCAAACATTTATGAGTTATAGACAATCAAATTACATTCTTTAAGTTATTCTAAAATATACAATTTTTATTGACTGTAGTCATGCTACTGTGCTATCAAATAGTGGGTCTTATTTATTCTATTTTTTTTTTGTGCTCATTAATCATCCTCATGTTTTCCTCAAACCCCTGCAACTCTTCCCAGTCTCCAGTAACTATCTTCCTGCTTTCTATGACCGTAATCTCAATGTTATTTATGTTTAGATCCCATAAATAAGTGGGAACATGCAATGTTTGTCTTTCTGTACCTGGCTTATTTCACTTAACATAATGATCTCCAGTTCCATTCATGTTGTTGCAAATGACTGAATTTCATTCTTTTTTATGGCTGAATAGTACTCCATTGTGTATATACACCACATATTTTATTCATTAATCTATTGATGAACACTTAGGTTGCTTCCAAGTCTTAGCTATTGTAGACAGTGCTGCAACAAACATAGGATTGTGGATGTCTCTATTATATATTGATCTCCAGTTTTGGGGTATATACTAAGCAGCATGATTATTAGATCATAAGATAGCTCAATTTTTAGTTTTCTGAGAAACATAGGAATGCAGATATTTCTTTGATATAATGATTTTCTTTCTCTTGGCACATACCCAGCAATGAGATTGCTGGATCATATAGTAGCACAGATTGTTCCCAATGTTTTCTTATGATAATTTCACGGTTCAGTCTTAAATGTAAGTCTTTAATTCATTGTGATTCAATTTTTGTATATGGTGAGAAATAAGGGTCTAGTATCATTCTTCTGCATATGAATATCCAATTTTTCCAGAACTATTTATTGAGGAGAATTCTGTTTCCCCAGTGTATGTTTTTGGCACCTTTATCAAAAATGAGTTTGCTGTAGGTGTGTGGACTTGTTTTGGGGTTCTCTATTCTGTTCCATTGTTCTATGTGTTTTTCATGCCAGTACCATGCTGTTTTGGTTAATATAGATCTGTGGTATAATTTGAAGTGAGATAATATGATTCCTCCAGTTTCGTTCTTTTTACCTAGGTATGGTGTTTGGTGTTGCTGCAATTTGTTATTGTTGCTTTTGTTGCAGCTGCTGCTGTTTATGTCTTTGTGACTTTCCTAAATTAACTCATTAAGATCTGTGTTATGGTTTGAAAGTTTTTGTCCCTCCTACTCCCCACCAAATGCATGTGTTGTAATCTAATCACCAATGCAACAATGTTAGGAGATGGGATCTTTGAAATATTAGGTCATAATTAGGTCATGAAGGTGGAGTGCTCATGAATAAAATTAGTGATATTATGAAGGAGATCCCAGCAAGCTTTTTGGCCCTTTCTATCATGAGAGGACACAGAAAGAAGTTGCCATCTATGAAGAAAAATGGTCCCTCGTTAGACAATAAATCTGTTTGTACTGTGATTTGGACTTCCCAGCCTCCAGAACTGTGAAAAAGACATTTCCGTTTTTTAAAAACCACCCAGACTGAAGTATTTTTTTTAATTATACTTTAAGTTCTGGGGTACATGTGCAGAAAGTGCAGTTTTGTTACATAGGTATACATGTGCCATGGTGGTTTGCTGCATCCATCAACCCGACATCTACATTAGGTATTTCACCTAATGCTATCCCTCTCCTCGCCCCCCAGCTCCCAACAGGCCCTAGTGTGTGATGTTCTTTTCCCTGTGTCCATGTGTTCTCATTATTCAACTCCCACTTATGAGTGAGAACATGTGGTGTTTGGTTTTCTGTTCCTGTGCTAGTTGCTGAGAATGATGGTTTCCGGCTTCATCCATGTCCCTGCAAAGGACATGAACTCATCCTTTTTTTTATTGGCTGCATAGTGTTTCATGGTATATATATGCCATATTTTCTTAATCCAGTCTATCATTGATGGGCATTTGGATTGTTTCCAAGTCTTTGCTATTGTGAATAGTGCTGCAGTAAACATACGTGTGCATGTGTCTTTATAGTAGAATGATTTATAATCTTTTGGGTATATACCCAGTAATGGGATTGCTGGGTCAAATGGTATTTCTAGTTCTAGATCCTTGAGGAATCACCACACTGTCTTCCACAATGGTTGAACTAATTTACACTCCCACCAACAGTGTAAAAGCTTTCCTATTTCTCCACATCCTCTCCAGCATCTGTTGTTTTCTTGACTTTTTAATGATCGCCATTCTAACTGGCATGAGATGGTATCTCATTATGGTTTTGATTTGCATTTCTCTAATGACCAGTGATGATGAGCTTTTTTCATATGTTTGTTGGCTGCATAAATGTCTTCTTTTGAGAAGTGTCTGTTCATATCCTTCTTGTGCAAATGTTTGAAGACAATCTGCATTCTTTGTTGCATGTGACCACTGAGGTTACTCCACAGAGCCCTGCTAATGATTAAAGAGACATTTCAGTAAAAATTTTGAATCAATAATCTCCTAACCCAGAGGGCTCAGCATGCATATTTTAGCATAACTTTGACATTCTATCATATAGTTGGGAGCTCTGCCTTTTCCTTCACTTTCTGCTTACACAGAGTCTCAAGGCAAGATAGAGGTGAAAGTTTAGGGTTTTCTCAGTTTTCTTTTCTGAGTATATACACAACCTTATGTCTGCGTTTCCTCCTGGATTCCCATGTATATGTCAGAATATTTCAAAGTCCCATATGTAAATCTTGATTTCTCAGCTTTTCTTTTTAAGTTTTTTTATTCCATTCTTTTTGCCCCAACTGTTATCTGTATTTCAAAAAACTAGGATGCTAAACCATTTTTATTAATTGTTTCTGACAGACTTCCTTGGGAGAAAGACTGTTTCCATGGAATGAGATCTTAGGCCAAATAAAGACGAGCTCTGCAATTGAGGCATTACATGTACTGCCAAACAGGTCAAATAATGACAATTCTTCAGAAATGATGCTTTTGCATGCTTCAAACATTTTCTACTATTTTCAGTTCCTGTTAGGCTGCTAGCTATTTGTGGAACTGTTGGTTTTCAAGGCCACCATGGAACTGGGGAAAGTGGAATCAAAATAGGGAGAGTAAAAATGCCACAAAGCTTGCTCTCCTTATTGAGACATAGGTGTTTCTATTGAATAAGTGTCCCTTGGATTGTTGCAAACATTTAGTTAATTTCCAGAACTCTGAATAGTTCATTTTGACCATTTTTTCCAGTGGTCTTGTTTTAGTTTTTTATGGAGGAACAGATTTTTGAAGGACTTAACTCCACAGTTTCTTCTGGAATCACTTTCTCGATATAAATATTAGAGTAAGATTGTTTGTGTGTTTTTTTTTAAAGCACACACACAAAAACAAGCAAAAAAAACTTGCTGGAATTTTTATTGGAAATTCTTTAAACTTATAAATCATTTAGGATAAAATTGACATCTTTATCATGCTGATCTTCCATTTTATAGACATGGTATGTCTTGCCATTTATTTAATTCTTTGTTTATGTCATTAGCATTTTGTAATTGTCAGCATGAAAAACCTTTATGTTTTGTTAAGCCTCCACCTAAGTATTTAATATTTTTGGATAGATTATAAATGATACTTCAGTTTTAAAGATGATTTTCATGTAGTCACTATTGGTATATAGAAATGCAGTTGATTATTGTGTGGTAATTGTGTATGCTGCAGTGTTGCTACACTCAATTATTACTTTTAGTAATTTTTAAACTTCTCTTTAGTAGACTTGTTGAATGTTCCTGCATCTACAATCATGCATATGCAAATAAAAATTTCTTTTTTTTCCAGTTTGTATATATATTATCGTTATTCATTTTCCTATTACAGTTGCCAAAAGTTCTAATATCATGTTGAAAAAGAGTTAGGAGAATGGACATCCTTGCCTTGTCCCTGAAAGTATTCAGGCTTTCACAATTAAGTATGATGTTAGCTCTAATAAATATGATGCTTCAGTGATGTTAGCATTTGTAGATGCTCTATATCAAGATGTGTAAGTTTTTCTCTCTAATCCTAGCTTGCTGAGTGTTTGTTGGTTTGTTTTGTGTTTTGAATTGTGTTGAGTTATATAAAATACCTTTCTGTATCAATTTATATAATCACATGAGTTTTCTTCTTCCTTAGACTGTTGATATGATTTATTATGTAGATTGATTCTTGATTATTTAACCAGCCTTGCCTGACATAAATTTTCCAGTCATTGTAAATAACTCTGTTTGTATATTGTTGTACTTCATTCACTAGTATTTTGTTAAAGGTTTTTGTGTTTATCTTCATAAGGCATATTAGTCTTCTTTAAGTTTTCATTTTTGTATAGTTTTTGTCTGGCTTTAGTATCAGGATAATACTTATCTCATAAAATGAGATGTTTCTTTTTATTACTTTCTCTGGAAAAGATTATTTAAAGTTGAAATGAATATTTACTAGAAACATTTGAAAAATTAAAATCACCTGATCCTGAAGATGAACTTTTCAGGAACATTCTACTTATTAATTCACTTTCTTTAAAGGCTGTACAATGAATATGGTTATGTATTTGGTCTTGTTTGAGTTTTGTTAGTCATGGTCTTGAATTCATGAGTATAAAGTTGGTCTTGAATTCATGAGTATAAAGTTCATTTTAGTGTTTTCTAATTATTATTTTATTTCTTCAGGACCTGTTACAATATTCCTCGCTTCTTTCATGATGTTGGTGGTTTGTGACGTCTCTCTTTATTTTCATTTATGGTGTTGGTGGTTTGGATCTTCTCTATTTTTATTAGCCTTGATGGAAGTTTCTAAATATTATTAATATAAAAATAACTATATTTATTTTCTTCATTATTTTCTGGTTATTTGCCTTGATTTCTGTCCATATTATTATTATTTCCTTCTTTTTACTTATACTGTTTACTTTGCTTTCCATTTTCTACTTTCTTGAGGTAGTAACTTAGACTATTGACTTAACTTTCCTATTTTTCTAATATAAGCACTCAGTAAGATAAATTTCCCTGTCAACATGGATTTAGCTACATACATCAAGTTTCAGGATGTTGTATTTTCATTTAAATCACACACACAAACACATATATTTTTTTCTTTGTAATTTCCTCTTTGAGAGATGAATTATTTAAAAATGTGTCATTTAGCATCCTCAAGTGTTTAAATATTTTCTTTTGTCTTTCTGGTATTGATTTCTAGTTTGATACCATTATGATCAGATAAAACAATCTTCATATTTTTTTCTTAAATTTGTTGACTCCAGTTTTATGGCCCAAAATATGTTCTGTGTTGGTGAATGCTTCATGGTCACTTAAAAATATGTGTATTCTGATGTTAGTAGGTAGAGCATTGTATATATGTCCCTCTTTCTCTTTAAATTTTCCATGTTATTAAATTTGAAATAATTTTGTAAAAACCATGTATTTGGTTGTTTTTTAAAAATTACTTTACCAATCTCTGTGTTTGTTCTTTTTGATAAATTTCATTTTTAAAATTGTTTTAGGCTTACAGAAAAATTGAGCAGATAGAACATACAATTCCTATATATCCCACACCCATTTTTTATAATTAATAATTTACATTAGTATATTTGTTAAAATAAATGAGCCAATATTGACTTCTTGTTATGAACTAAAGTCTATAGTTTAGATTTCCTTCATTTTTACCTGATGTCTTTTTTTGTGCTCCAGGATCTCATCCAGGATATAATATCGCTCTATTTGCCATGTCTCTTTAGGTAGCTTTTGGCTGTGGCAGTTTCTTGGACTTTTCTTGGTTTCGAGGACCTTGGCAATTTTCAGAAGTATTTATCAGGTATTCTGTAGGATGTTCCAATATTGGAATTTGATATTTTTATTATAATAAGACTTGGGATTATGAGTTCTTGGGAGGAATTCCATGGAGGTGATGTTTCACTTCACCACATCATATCAAAAATACATACTATCAATGAGATTTATGACTGTTAATATTGACTTAATCACTTGGCTGAGATAATGTGTGTCAGGTTTCCTGCCTGTAAAATTACTCTTTGATTCTGCAGTTTTCTACTCTTTCATTCTCTTCCATTTTGTAAGACAGTTACTATGTGGCTTATTGAGTGGGAAG